>NC_000012.12:127095758-127397382 GCF_000001405.40 Homo sapiens
ATCTTGAATTGATTTTTGTGTAAGGTGTAAGGAAGGGATCCAGTTTCAGCTTTCTACATATGGCTAAGCCAGTTTTCCCAGCACCATTTATTAAATAGGGAATCCTTTCCCCATTGCTTGTTTTTCTCAGGTTTGTCAAAGATCAGATAGTTGTAGATATGTGGCGTTATTTCTGAGGGCTCTGTTCTGTTCCATTGATCTATATCTCTGTTTTGGTACCAGTACCATGCTGTTTTGGTTACTGTAGCCTTGTAGTATAGTTTGAAGTCAGGTAGTGTGATGCCTCCAGCTTTGTTCTTTTGGCTTAGGATTGACTTGGCAATGCGGGCTCTTTTTTGGTTCCATATGAACTTTAAAGTAGTTTTTTCCAATTCTGTGAAGAAAGTCATTGGTAGCTTGATGGGGATGGCATTGAATCTGTAAATGACCTTGGGCAGTATGGCCATTTTCACGATATTGATTCTTCCTACCCATGAGCATGGAATGTTCTTCCATTTGTTTGTATCCTCTTTTATTTCCTTGAGCAGTGGTTTGTAGTTCTCCTTGAAGAGGTCCTTCACATCCCTTGTAAGTTGGATTCCTAGGTATTTTATTCTCTTTGAAGCAATTGTGAATGGGAGTTCACTCATGATTTGGCTCTCTGTTTGTCTGTTGTTGGTGTATAAGAATGCTTGTGATTTTTGTACATTGATTTTGTATCCTGAGACTTTGCTGAAGTTGCTTATCAGCTTAAGGAGATATTGGGCTGAGACAATGGGGTTTTCTAGATATACAATCATGTCATCTGCAAACAGGGACAATTTGACTTCCTCTTTTCCTAATTGAATACCCGTTATTTCCTTCACCTGCCTAATTGCCCTGGCCAGAACTTCCAACACTATGTTGAATAGGAGTGGTGAGAGAGGGCATCCCTGTCTTGTGCCAGTTTTCAAAGGGAATGCTTCCAGTTTTTGCCCATTCAGTATGATATTGGCTGTGGGTTTGTCATAGATAGCTCTTATTATTTTGAGATACGTCCCGTCAATACCTAATTTATTGAGAGTTTTTAGCGTGAAGGGTTGTTGAATTTTGTCAAAGGCTTTTTCTGCATCTATTGAGATAATCATGTGGTTTTTGTCTTTGGCTCTGTTTATATGCTGGATTACATTTATTGATTTGCGTATATTGAACCAGCCTTGCATCCCAGGGATGAAGCCCACTTGATCATGGTGGATAAGCTTTTTGATGTGCTGCTGGATTTGGTTTGCCAGTATTTTATTGAGGATTTTTGCATCAATGTTCATCAAGGATATTGGTCTAAAATTCTCTTTTTTTGTTGTGTCTCTGCCTGGCTTTGGTATCAGAATGATGCTGGCCTCATAAAATGAGTTAGGGAGGATTCCCTCTTTTTCTATTGATTGGAATAGTTTCAGAAGGAATGGTACCAGTTCCTCCTTGTACCTCTGGTAGAATTTGGCTGTGAATCCATCTGGTCCTGGACTCTTTTTGGTTGGTAAGCTATTGATTATTGCCACAATTTCAGATCCTGTTATTGGTCTATTCAGAGATTCAACTTCTTCCTGGTTTAGTCTTGGGAGAGTGTATGTGTCCAGGAATTTATCCATTTCTTCTAGATTTTCTAGTTTATTTGCGTAGAGGTGTTTGTAGTATTCTCTGATGGTAGTTTGTATTTCTGTGGGATCGGTAGTGATATCCCCTTTATCATTTTTTATTGGGTCTATTTGATTCATCTCTCTTTTTTTCTTTATTAGTCTTGCTAGCGGTCTATCAATTTTGTTGATCCTTTCAAAAAACCAGCTCCTGGATTCATTAATTTTTTGAAGGGTTTTTTGTGTCTCTATTTCCTTCAGTTCTGCTCTGATTTTAGTTATCTCTTGCCTTCTGCTAGCTTTTGAATGTGTTTGCTCTTGCTTTTCTAGTTCTTTTAATTGTGATGTTAGGGTGTCAATTTTGGATCTTTCCTGCTTTCTCTTGTGGGCATTTAGTGCTATAAATTTCCCTCTACACACTGCTTTGAATGCGTCCCAGAGATTCTGGTATGTTGTGTCTTTGTTCTTGTTGGTTTCAAAGAACATCTTTATTTCTGCCTTCATTTCGTTATGTACCCAGTAGTCATTCAGGAGCAGGTTGTTCAGTTTTCATGTAGTTGAGCGGTTTTGAGTGAGATTCTTAATCCTGAGTTCTAGTTTGATTGCACTGTGGTCTGAGAGATAGTTTGTTATAATTTCTGTTCTTTTACATTTGCTGAGGAGAGCTTTACTTCCCAGTATGTGGTCAATTTTGGAATAGGTGTGGTGTGGTGCTGAAAAAAATGTATATTCTGTTGATTTGGGGTGGAGAGTTCTGTAGATGTCTATTAGGTCTGCTTGGTGCAGAGCTGAGTTCAATTCCTGGGTATCCTTGTTGACTTTCTGTCTCGTTGATCTGTCTAATGTTGACAGTGGGGTGTTAAAGTCTCCCATTATTAATGTGTGGGAGTCTAAGTCTCTCTGTAGGTCACTCAGGACTTGCTTTATGAATCTTGGTGCTCCTGTATTGGGTGCATATATATTTAGGATAGTTAGCTCTTCTTGTTGAATTGATCCCTTTACCATTATGTAATGGCCTTCTTTGTCTCTTTTGATCTTTGTTGGTTTAAAGTCCGTTTTATCAGAGACTAGGATTGCAACCCCTGCCTTTTTTTGTTTTCCATTTGCTTGGTAGATCTTCCTCCATCCTTTTATTTTGAGCCTATGTGTGTCTCTGCACGTGAGATGGGTTTCCTGAATACAGCACACTGATGGATCTTGACTCTTTATCCAATTTGCCAGTCTGTGTCTTTTAATTGGAGCATTTAGTCCATTGACATTTAAAGTTAATATTGTTATGTGTGAATTTGATCCTGTCATTATGATGTTAGCTCGTTATTTTGCTCGTTAGTTGATGCAGTTTCTTCCTAGTCTCGATGGTCTTTACATTTTGGCATGATTTTGCAGCGGCTGGTATTGGTTGTTCCTTTCCATGTTTAGTGCTTCCTTCAGGAGCTCTTGTAAGGCAGGCCTGGTGGTGACAAAATCTCTCAGCATTTGCTTGTCTGTAAAGTATTTTATTTCTCCTTCACTTATGAAGCTTAGTTTGGCTGGATATGAAATTCTGGGTTGAAAATTCTTTTCTTTAAGAATGTTGAATATTGGCCCCCACTCTCTTCTGGCTTGTAGGGTTTCTGCCGAGGAATCCACTGTTAGTCTGATGGGCTTCCCTTTGAGGGTAACCCGACCTTTCTCTCTGGCTGCCCTTAACATTTTTTCCTTCATTTCAACTTTGGTGAATCTGACAATTATGTGTCTTGGAGTTGCTCTTCTCGAGGAGTATCTTTGTGGCGTTCTCTGTATTTCCTGAATCTGAACGTTGGCCTGCCTTGCTAGATTGGGGAAGTTCTCCTGGATAATATCCTGCAGAGTGTTTTCCAACTTGGTTCCATTCTTCCCATCACTTTCAGGTACACCAATCAGACGTAGATTTGGTCTTTTCACATAGTCCCATATTTCTTGGAGGCTTTGCTCATTTCTTTTTATTCTTTTTTCTCTAAACTTCCCTTCTCGCTTCATTTCATTCATTTCATCTTCCATTGCTGATACTCTTTCTTACAGTTGATCGCATCGGCTCCTAAGGCTTCTGCATTCTTCACGTAGTTCTCGAGCCTTGGTTTTCAGCTCCATCAGCTCCTTTAAGCACTTCTCTGTATTGGTTATTCTAGTTATACATTCTTCTAAATTTTTTTCAAAGTTTTCAACTTCTTTGCCTTTGGTTTGAATGTCCTCCCGTAGCTCAGAGTAATTTGATCGTCTGAAGCCTTCTTCTCTCAGCTCGTCAAAGTCATTCTCCATCCAGCTTTGTTCCGTTGCTGGTGAGGAACTGCGTTCCTTTGGAGGAGGAGAGGCGCTCTGCTTTTTAGAGTTTCCAGTTTTTCTGTTCTGTTTTTTCCCCATCTTTGTGGTTTTATCTACTTTTGGTCTTTGATGATGGTGATGTACAGATGGGTTTTTGGTGTGGATGTCCTTTCTGTTTGTTAGTTTTCCTTCTAACAGACAGGACCCTCAGCTGCAGGTCTGTTGGAATACCCTGCTGTGTGAGGTGTCAGTGTGCCCCTGCTGGGGGGTGCCTCCCAGTTAGGCTGCTCGGGGGTCAGGGGTCAGGGACCCACTTGAGGAGGCAGTCTGCCCGTTCTCAGATCTCCAGCTGCGTGCTGGGAGAACCACTGCTCTCTTCAAAGCTGTCAGACAGGGACATTTAAGTCTGCAGAGGTTACTGCTGTCTTTTTGTTTGTCTGTGCCCTGCCCCCAGAGGTGGAGCCTACAGAGGCAGGCAGGCCTCCTTGAGCTGTGGAAGCTCCACCCAGTTCGAGCTTCCCGGCTGCTTTGTTTACCTAATCAAGCCTGGGCAATGGTGGGCGCCCCTCCCCCAGCCTCGCTGCCGCCTTGCAGTTTGATCTCAGACTGCTGTGCTAGCAATCAGCAAGACTCCATGGGCGTAGGACCCTCCGAGCCAGGTGCGGGATATAATCTCGTGGTGCGCCGTTTTTTAAACCCGTCGGAAAAGCGCAGTATTCGGGTGGGAGTGACCCGATTTTCCAGGTGCCATCCGTCACCCCTTTCTTTGACTCAGAAAGGGAACTCCCTGACCCCTTGCGCTTCCCAAGTGAGGCAATGCCTCGCCCTGCTTCGGCTCGAGCACGGTGCGCGACCCCACTGACCTGCGCCCACTGTCTGGCACTCCCTAGTGAGATGAACCCGGTACCTCAGATGGAAATGCAGAAATCACCCGTCTTCTGCATCGCTCACGTTGGGAGCTATAGACCGGAGCTGTTCCTATTCGGCCATCTTGGCTCCTCCCCTTCACCCTGGTATTTTAAGAATGCATTTAAATATTTTATTTCACCTTACTTGTTTTGCATGTGTAGTCCTTTTAATCTTAGGTATTAAATATATAAAACAGACTTTCACAACTAGTTAAAGAATTTTCAAAGGGCAGATAAAATATGTAATTTTCATCTTTCCAAACTGGTGCTATGTAACATACGAAGTGCAATTAATGGTCATAATAACATGCTTAAACACCAAACCGAAAGAATGCATCTGGAGTTATTAACTAGGAACTAAATGAGGAAAAAAAAGTATGTATGTGTGTATGTGAGTGTGTGTGTGTGTCTGTGTGTGTGTTCTATAGTGAGATGCAACTTAATTTTTTTTTCCAAGTAAAATATAGGCAGGAGCTTTCTCTGGAGGAAGTAGTAGGAAATGGTTCACCCTCCTTCAGGAAAAAAAACTGGACAAATATATAAAACAGTTTTAAATACATAGATATAGGCAAAAAGTAGTGATTTATGAGAGAAGGGAAAATAATGAAGTAAACTCCCAAATTTCCCCACATGTACTGCCTTGAGAAACCTTTCAGTCCACAGAAGGGGATGGGGGATATCTCAGAGAGGAGCCATCTGACTGGGAACTGGAGAGGAGAGAGATCCAGAGAAATCTCCAGAGGCCCCTCCAGCTGTTCAGCTGGCTGTTAATCAGCACAGTGATGCAGAAACTGACTGTGGCCAGGGGAAACATTATGTGGAAGAATTCGAGAGGACAGCACCATGATACCACATGCAAGCTTAGCATGGTTGGCCCATCACCTAAACACAGAGACCTCATAATTCAATGAGAAATAAGGTAGGATACTCTTAAAAGGTCTTCACTACCTACTGAATTACAATGAACTCTTAGCTTTAAATTAATGCTGCTCTATTTCTGTCTAATAAATCTTAAAAGCCTTACCCAAAAGGATTATTTCCAAATACCTTAATTGTGTTCCACAACAAAACTCAATATCTATATAAATTACATAATTTTATATAGCATATATATGTGTATATCCCCCAGAAGGATACATTCCAAAATATCTTGCATCCAATCAAAAATTACCAGGCATGCCTATGATGAGAAGAAACCTCAATCGAAACATCTAAAACTGACACGTGTGTTACGATTAGAAGAAAAAGACATTATAACAGTCATTCAGTGTGTACAGAAAGCGGAGAGAAGTGTTAAGATGTGGCAGGGAGACAAAACATAAAAAGGACACAAGTTGGCCGGGCGCAGTGGCTCACGCCTGTACTCCCAGCACTTTGGGAGGCTGAGGTGGGAGGATCACGAGGTCAGGAGATCGAGACCATCTTGGCCAACATGGTGAAACCCCTTCGCTACTAAAATACAAAAAATTAGCCAGACATGGTGGCATGTGCCTGTAGTCCCAGCTACTTGGGAGGCTGAGGCAGGGGAATCGCTTGAACCCGGGAGCTGGAGGTTGCAGTGAGCTGAGATCCCGCCACTGAACTCCAGCCTGGTGACACAGCAAGACTCCATCTCAAAATAAATAAATAAATAAAGGATACAAGTTAAAATTGTATAGATGAGGCTGGGTGCAGTGGGTCATGCCTGTAATCTCAGCACTTGGGAGGCCGAGGCGGGAGGATCACAAGGTCAAGAGATCGAGACCATTCTAGCCAATATGGTGAAACCCCATCTCTACTAAAAATAGAAAAATTAGCCAGGCGCCTATAGTCCCAGCTACTCAAGAGGCTGAGGCAGGAGAATCGCTTGAACCCGGGAGGCGGAGGTTGCAGTGAGCTGAGATCGCACCACTGCACTCTGCCTGGTGACAGAGTGAGACTGCATCTCAAAAAAAAAAAATTTGTATAGATTGTGTGAAATGAGCAATTATGTTGGATATGGTAAGCAACAGATTAGACAATACAGAAGAAGATATTAGTGAATATGACAAATTAATAAAAAACTAGCCATGCTGAACCAGAGAGAGACAGGGAGAGAGAAGAAAACAAAAACAAAAAAGAACAGAGATTTACTGTGCTTAGGAGAAGTAGCCTAATAATTGTGTAACTGGAGTTCCCCAAATAAGGACGTACAAAAAACATTTGAATGAATAATGTAATGAAATGATAAACACACAAATCTAAGAAGCTTAATAAAACCCAAGCCCAAGAACCATACAAAATACACAAAGAAATATTATAACCAAATTGTCCAAAACAGTTTACAAAGAAAAAAATCTTAAAAACAAAGTAAAAATAAATGTTATATAGAGAGGAAGAACTCTAAGAGTTGCAATATATTTCTTGTCAAAAGCAATGCAAATGAGAAGACAGAAAGACACCATTTTCACATGAAAGAAAGAAAATAGTAGCCAAGTTAGAATTCTGTGTGCACTCATATATACTTATTTTTTTAATACAAAAGGATGTTTTTAGATTTACAAAAGCCAAAAGCTGAAGGAATTTATTACTGGAAGACTTCACTACAATAAATGATAATTCAATAGAATAAAAAATAATACAAGATGAAAACATGGACCTAATCAAAAAAATAAAGAGGACTTGAAATTGTAATCACTTTGGTAAATCTATGAGTATTACCTTATTATTTTAATCACCCTAAAAGATGATGAAGCAGAATTAATTCACGGAGCAAATACTTCTTAAGCACCTATTAGATCACAGGCACTTAAGGTGGCTATTGGGATACTACATCAAACAGCTGTGTGAAAATACCTTGAAGGAACTATGTAAACACTGTATTCTAAAATAATATGCAAGGTATGTTCTTTACAACTTGTTTTATTGGAAATACAATTATAAACAACCAAATTTCAAGTTATTAACCAGTACTAATTTATAATCACTGTGTATTACAGCAAACTCAATGCTTCAGTGACTTCCAAATCTACTGAGAGATAAGAATTGATAATGTACTGATAAACTTAGTTAGGACTTTTAAATTGTTCTTGGTTTAAGGAAAAGCTATATTTAGAATGATTTCCAGGCCAAGTGTGGTGGCTCACTCCTGTGATCCTAGCACTTTGGGAGGCCAAGCTGGGTGGACCACTTAAGGTCAGGAGTTTGAGACCAGCTTGGCCAACATGGCAAAACCCCGTCTCTACTAAGAAAACAAAAATTAGCTTGGCGTGGTGGTGCACGCTGATAATCCCAGCTACTCTAGAGGCTGAGGCATAAGAATCCTTTGAACCTTGGAGGCAGAGGTTGCAGTGAGCACTCCAGTCTAGGCGACAGAGTGAGACCCTGTCCCCCACTCCCCACCGCCAAAAAAAAAAAAAAAAAAAAAAAAAAAAGATTTCCCTTTGCATGTACTTAGGATCTCCAGTTGCTGAAAATTTCAAAGGAATTTTAAAGTATACTTGCAAAAATTCTATATAGGCATTGATATAACTTTTATAGTATTCAAAAATAGTATTTTATAGTATTCAACTTTTATAGTATTCTGGATTTACTATTCACTTTCTAACCTGCCTATAAGACACTGGAGTACAGACATCACATTTTGGCTTGTTTTAAAGGCCCCACATCTAACCATCACAGTGAATGCATATAGCAAGTCTTGATGGGAGCATGTTCAACAAAAAGGCAGAGTTGTTCAGCAGATGAGACTCAGGCTTTGGGGTTATATGAATCCACGTGTTATTTACTTCTCGACCACTTACTGATTTTATGCCCGTACTAGTTCCCTAGACCTGCCATAACCAAGAGTCACAAACTTGGTGGCTTAAACTACAGATGTTCTAGAGTCTGGAAGTGCAAAATTGAAGTGTAGGCAGTCGTCATGCTTCCATCAAAGCCTCTAGGGAGGGTTCCTCTAGGGAGGGTTCCCCTGGGGAGGGTTCCTCTTCACCTCTCCCACTTTAGGGTAGCTCCAGGAGCCTTCACTTGTGGTTCATCGCTGTCATCCTGCCTTTGTCATCTGCATATGGCCGTTTTCTCTCAGTGTCTTTACATTGTCTTCCCTCTGTGTTATCTCTGTCTCTGTATCCAAATTCCCCCTTTTTATAAGGACACCTGTCTTATTGGATTAAGGCTCATCCTCATGACCTCATCCTAACTTGACATCTGTAAACATCCTATTTCTAAATAAGGTGATAGTCACAGATACTAGAGGTTAGGACCTCAACATGTCTTTTTGGGGAGACAATTCAACCCATAAAAATGACCTTGAGCCAGGTCCTGATTCCTCTAGGCCTTGGATCATCAACAAAATAGAAAAAAAAATCAGCAGCAGTGATTGAATTATTTTGACAAGAAATTGAGATGGGGGTGTATAGTGCATCACTCTGAAGTGTTGGTTCTTTGCAGAGAAAGGAGCTTAATATTAGAAAGTCTTTTTCCTTATTTAAGGTGGAAACAATTATAGTGCGGGGAGGGAAAGTGGAGGATGATGATGGAATGGGAGTGAGGAAAACCATTTCACTATTTTTGTTTTGATTTGTTTTGAGATGGAGTTTCGCTCTTTTTGCCCAGGCTGGAGTGCAATGGCACGATCTTGGCTCACTGCAACCTCCACCTCCTGGGTTCAAGTGATTCTCCCGCCTCAGCCTCCCGAGTAGCTGGGATTACAGGCACGCGCCACCACACCCGGCTAATTTTGTATTTTTAGTAGAGATGGAGTTTCTCCATGTTGGTCAGGCTGGTCTCGAACTCCCAACCTCAGGTGATCTGCCTGCCTCGGCCTCCCAAAATGCTGGGATTACAGGTGTGAGCCACCACACCTAGCCCATTTCACTCTTAAGGTTCTACTGAAAATCCACAATGAAATGGGGATTTTTTATTTCTTTCTTTATTTTTTTGAGACAGGGTCTCCCAGGCTGGAGTGCAGGAGCTGTGATCATGCCTCACTGCAGCCTTGATTTCCCAGGCTCAAGCAATCCTCCCACCTCAGCTTCCCGAGTGGCGGAGACTACAGGCACATAACATCATGCCCAGCTAATTTTTGTATTATTTGTAGAGACAAGGTTTTGCCATGTTATCCAGGCTAGTCTTGAACTCCTGAGCTCAAGCGATCCACCCACCTGAGTCTCCCAGAGTGCTGGGATTGCAAGCATGAGCCACCACACCAGGCTGAAACAAGATATTCTTAATCTGAGTTGGAGAATCTTAGCATTTCAGGTCTTTGAAGAAATTGAAATGCTACTAAATTAAAGAAGAATATGAGATAATATTGTATGAAAACTATACATTTTATAAAATCAGATAATTCTTTATTACTGAGTGATCTTAGCAAACCTATGGAAAGAATCTTATCTATCTACATAGTAAGCAAATACAACTCATATCTATGTTAACATGTCTAAATGAATTTTTTTTAATATCTATGTTAACATATCTAAATGAATTTTTTAATATTTTGATATACCCCTCGGTCCCAATAACAGGATTTTTGCTTAGGGAGAAAACACTGTTTTGAGTCTCCTGATCATCACTGTAGCAGCACTTTTACCTTTGGGATCGTCTCAGAATTCACCTAATTCAAAGCTTCCATGCAATTACACTGCCACATTTTCCCAATTTAGAAATTCTAATGGCCCCCAGTGGATATTTTCACAGGTTGAATTTCAGAGACAGCTTAACTATCACATGTTTTGTTCTAAATACCCTTATCCAACTTCCAATTTGCCAGCCAGCCACCAATATACATTGCCTGAGAAAGCGCAAATGTGCTTCACGAACAGCATGAGATTCTAACTCTAATACATTTAAACCCCAGGCTCACCACTTGTGCACCTGTTAGAATTGCATATTCTTTCTTTCTGCTAATAGCTTTCAAACTATTTAGCAGGTGACAGCCACACCTAGAAGAACACATCCAGAAAAACATTAACAAGACGCCGTAATGTGAAATGCCAGACACATTAAAATAGCATGCTGTGAATAGGAGATACAGGCTTTGCTCTCTGAAAGGCATGGTCCAAGGGGCTCAAGTTCAAAGGGGGAAAAATTCTGTCTACGCTGCTGCATGAGTAAATGAAACAAGAACATACTGGAAGGAAAAGTTCTGAGAGTAGGAAACTGAGATTGCAGGCCTGCTATCCTAAAAGAACTGTTTATAGCAGGAATTTCCAGGAAGTTTGGAGAAATGTCTGAATTTCTGGGACTCAATTGCAGCACTTGCTTAACAATAAACATTGCCTTCTTTTCTGTGTCTTTTCCCATGCTGAGGTATCTCTGGGGATTGGGGTATGTTACTGAGACTTTGGCATTGCTGAGTTTTTTCTATGCTGTTTCCAGGATCCTTTTATGCTCATGTTGCATTTGTGTGTGTGATAGTGTAGTAGATGGGCAGCCAGGGCTAAGTCAACACATTTATTTCAGTTTCTTCATTTCAGAGACAGTCTTTTATTTGAACAATGAAAAGTAAATAGAAACCAGGCAACTTTTTTGGAGCCACATTAATATATTTTTTCTCATGAGGTTTCATTGTGAGTCTAATAACTGTGTAGAGATTCACGACTCCAGCAATTAGCTTCTGGATATTTCTTTCAATCTGATAGTGTAGTTTGCCTGGCAGTCAGATCGATAGCTTGGGGGTTGAATGCAGCCTTCAATTACTTCTACCTGAAGACCTGATCTTCAATTCTACAGTGCTGATTAGTGTATGTATTTCATTAGAACATTAGTGCTTAAAATTCACATTCATCACGGCAGTGCCTGGCTGTCCACAGGTTAAGAAGGGGAACGGAAGGCAAAGCTTAGAAAGAAACCCTTATCTTGACTTGACTTGAGTCCACATCTCTCAACTGTCTTCCATGTTTTTTTTTTTTTTTGTTTTGTTTTTGAAATGGCGTCTCGCTCTGTCACCCAGGCTGGAGTGCAGTGGCGTGATCTTAGCTCACTGCAAGCTCTGCCTTCTGGGTTCACGCCATTCTCCTGCCTCAGCCTCCCAAGTAACTGGGACTACAGGCACCTGCCCCCAAGCCCAGCTAGTTTTTGTATGTTTAGCAGAGACAGGGTTTCACCATGTTAGCCAGAATGGTCTGGATCTCCTGACCCCATGATCCACCTGCCTCGGCATCCCAAAGTGCTGGAATTACAGGTGTGAGCCACTACCCCTGGCCCTTCCATGGTTTTCAATACATCCATCTGATCACTGATATTTAAGTCCCACAATACATTCTCCGTGGAGTTGCTGGAGGGATCACTTAGAAAAATAAATCAAGCATCATCTCTCCTCCGCTTGAAACCCTCCAGAGCCTTCTCCTTTTGATTAGAACAAAATTCAAACACCAGCCTCGGGGCATGAGCTGACTTGTTCTTTCATCTTGTATCACCATCTTCCCCTTTGCTCCTTACCTCTCAGTACACTGGCATCTTCATGTGTGCCAACCACAATGAGTCATTTTAGACTGGGATTAGAACAAAACTTCAATGACAGCCCAGCTCCCCTCTCAGCACTTAAGTCTTCTGGGCACAGGTGTAACATTTTACTTTCTTTTTTCTCTTTTCTGGCATGTTTCCTACTCTTGTACCTTACACAAGTTTTCTAAATTCAGAATACAAGTGGAATACGGCGTGTAGTAAAATTGCCCTTGAAAACCTCTTAGAATAACTCTAAAGTATATGGTGCAAAGGGTTTTGTTGCATACATAAGATGTTCCCTGTAATAACTATGCCTCATGAGGGATGAAAGTTACCAAGATACAACAAAGAAAACAGAAAAGCTACAAGCAGACATTTGTAAAATCAAACCATTCTTCCTTTCACATCACTATCAAATCTTTAGCTGTCAATGAGTGATGGTAAAAATCCCCAGGAGTCTCAGCCTGCTTTCAGGATTTACTTATTTTCCTTTAACACTTTTAGAGCCTAAGTACATGTTCATAGATTTCCTTGTTGTTAGTATTAAATGAGATCCCAGGGTAACACCTCACCCACGGATTAAGTATTCATTCCAGCTAATAAATGCACTTGTGATGTTGCAATACGCTCTATAGAAGATGCTCAACACAGGTGGAGCAGGAAGTTTTGGCCAAACATCAGGATTTTCAAAATAAAGTAACAGACCAAAATGCAGATTTTCAAAGGAATGTCTGAAAATTTGTTCAATAATGCCTAATGCTCTTCAACCTTTTTAAAAACATAAAAAATGTCAGGAGGAGGGAGCAGATGGGGAAATCATGGGTTTCAAAAGAGAGGAGATATTACCACCAGGTGGCAGGAGCGCACCCGTGGTTATCCACTGAACTCTAGCATAGCTACAGACAGAGGAGGTCCCTCACAGCACCAGCTGGTCCAGAGGCTGTGGTGTGTGGCCCATCACCCAGATAAAAAGGAGGAGAAGGGAACTCCTGGGTTAGGTGAGACTCACCTGTCCAGGTGATGTTGTCCTGCAGCCCAGTAGGGAGTCTCTGGGTCAGAGACCTCCAAAGGGCAAGAGCCATCTGGTGGGCTTTAGAGCTCCTAAGTTTGTCGTTATCTATGACTAGCAGATGTTGGATGCAGTTTGCAACGTATACAAAGCAGGACAGTTCTAAATGGTTAAATACCAGCTATGTTGGAAACAGTTGGATGCGTAAAAATTTGAATCTGGCTCTGGTATGCTTTTAAATGCTAATGTGTCCCAGGCTGCTGTGAAGATGGACACAACCTAGGGGCCAATATCCAGATGCCATTGTAAAAAAATGGAGGAGATTGTAAAGAAAAAAACAAACAACTCCTCGATGAGCTCTGTAGTTCCTAAAGTGGGGAGAAAGGGGAGATGCTACTTGCTTTATTTACTGCTTGATGGACCCTTGAAGAGCTCGAAACAGGAAGACACCATGGATTGTGATATGATCCCTGCCCCAGAGATATGCAGGTCTTAAGGAGGCCTCGTTACCTGTCTGGTGGCAGAGCTGTCTGGGGGCTGCTCTGTGAGGAGAGACCTGGGTGCTCAGAGTGCCCCAAAACTAAGAAGGCCATGTGTACCTGTACTCCAGGTGTGCCCAGTTCTAAGGAAGCTAGGTCTCTTATTGCCCAAATAGGGAGACTTTTGAAAGTGAACAGGAGAATATTAATAATTATGCCAAGACACCAGAAATTGCCTGAGACAGTTTTGGGAAAACTGGAATGGATGTCACCCTACACATGCAGCATGGAAAACCAAGCTGGAGCCTTTGTGAGCGAGCATCTATGTGGGGTGGTTGGCAGGATGAATAGAAGCAGGCAAGGAATTGGGGGCAGTAAAAGCAAATTATTCCTGAACCAGAGGAATTATCACTGGGGTCCAGCAGGGAACCATTGAGAAATATGTGAAAGTACCCATAAGAGAAAGCAGCAGCCTCTACTAAGGCCAGAGAGTAAAGCCAGCTTGGGAAGTTAGTGATGCCTCTAGGATCTTTACTGTCCCCTCCCTCTTTTCTCTCTTATTCAACCCCTGGAAGGTGTGAAACTGACGGACAGGCTGATGGAAGGGTGGGTGTGGGAAGAGAAGAAAGAGAGAATGGTTATCTTAATAAATGCTGAAAAACACACATCATTGACCAAAAAAATGTTGAGAAAATAAAAATGGTGGGTATAGACTTTAATTTTTTTTTTTTTTTGAGACAGAGTCTCGCTCTGTCATGCAGGCTGGAGTGCAGTGGTGTGATCTTGGCTCACTGCAATCTCTGCCTCCCGGGTTCAAGCGATTCTCCTGCCTCAGCCTCCCAAGTAGCTGGGACTACAGGTGCGCACCACCACACCTGACTAATTTTTTTATTTTTAGTAGAGACAGGGTTTCACCATGTTGGCCTGGCTGGTCTTGAACTCCTGACCTCGTGATCCACCTGCCTTGGCCTACCGAAGTGCTGTGATTACAAACATGAGCCACCGCGCCCAGCCATAGACTTTAATATTAAAAGCCAATAGTTTACATAATGAGGGGACCCTAGAAGGACCTCCACCAAGATCATTAACAAAGCAAGAATATGAACAAATTTCACTATTATTTCACAATGTTCTTGAGGAACTAGTTAGGGCAATTAGACAAAAGGAAACAATTTGGACATAAAGACTGAGATGAAGATATAAAACTCCATAAGCAGAGAACCTGATCATACATCTAGAGGATCAATGATAAAACTAACAAAAACACTACAGGATTTCAGCAAGACAGCAATGTACAACATTAACATACAAAAATCAATAGCATTTGTAGACACAAATATTCACCAGTTAGAAGATAAAATGAATCCATGGATCTCATTTATTACGGCAACAAGAAACAAACAATACATTTAAGGATAAATACACCAGAAATGTTTGAAGCCAACAAGCAGAAAAGTATAAAACTCTCCTGAAGATAAGAGGAGGTTTGAATAGCTATGTTCTTCCTTGTTCTAGATAGGGCATCTTTACATCACTGATATTTCAATTCTCTCTGACTTAATGTATAACTTTAATGCCACCTCAATAAAAATTGTAATGAACATTTTCTTGGAGCTATACAAGCTGATATTAAAATTTATATAGCAAAAGAAATAAACCAGAATAACCAGGAAAGTCCGAAATGCAAGTCTGGAAGGGAACTAGTCATGCCAGGTACTAAATCAAAGGGGGCAGTGAGGATCTGGTGCAGAAACAACCTGATCAATGGGACAGGACAGGGAGTCTCAAAATAGCCATAACTGCATATAAACATCTAGTATATGGTTACCACAGTATTCAATTCAAGGGGGCAAAATAGAGACTTTTTAATAAATGGTGTTGGAATAAATTATAGTTATTTGTTCAAAGAGTTATAATTTTATGCATTCCTTACACCATGCACTAGATGATCCTCCAAATGGATTAGACTGAAATGGAAAGAAAAAAAGGGTGAATTCCTATATCATCTGGGTCTAGGTAAAATTTTTTCAACTATGACCAAGTTCCACATGTAACTGAAAAATTAAAAACTTGACTCTCTCTCTATATATATATATTTTACTTTCATGGCAAAAATAATCCATTATGAGGAACATAAAAAGACAAATAATAAACAGGAAAAAATATTGATGATATATATTACAAACTCCAGAATCATAAAGACATCTTAAATAATGAGAAAAAAATGTAAAATGCTACAGAAAATTTCGCAAAAATGATGACTGGACAACTCAAAAAGTTATAAAAATATCTCTTAAATATATGTAAAGTGTTTAACTTCACACATACTAGGAAAAATTAAAATAAAAATTATTCTGAGATATAGTCTACCCATCAGATTGACAAAAAGCCAAAAGCTTGACAATAGACTCTTTTGACAAGGCTGTCAGGAGGGAAAAAAAAAAAAAAAACTCTCCAACACTGGTATCAAGAATGTAAACTACTTAACTCCAGAGAAAGAGTGATTGGCAATATCTAGTAGAACTACGTATGAATTTATGTTTTGGCCTAGAAATGCCACTTCTAGGAATTCATCCTAAAGACATGCATCTAATCGTACAAAAAATACATCTGCACAGATTATGCATTGCAGCATGATTTGTGATTGCAAGATATTAGAAACTGCCTAAATATTCAAGTATGGGAGAGCAGTTGAATAAACTGGGCTATCTACTGCAGTTGGGTATTCTGCGGCTGTAAAAAACATGCAGACTTTTTATTTTTTAATGAACTGATATAGAATGCTCTCCAGGAGATGTTATTTTAAAAAAATTTAAAAGGTAAGTGCAAAAGAGGTTATAAATTATTCAGCTTTAAAAGGAAACAGCATTATGACAGATGCCGCAACATGGCGGTAGCTTAAGGACATTATGGTAATTGACATAAGCCAGACACAAAAGGACACATATTGTATGATTACGCGCATATGAGGTACCTAGAATAAGCAAATTCTTGGAGACAGAACATAGAATGGTGTTTGTCAGGGGCTGGGGAGAAGGGAGGGATGGGGCGCTATTGTTTAATGAGTACAGCGTTTCAATTTGGAATGATGAAAAGGTTCTGAAAATGGATGGTGGCGATGGTTGCAAACAATGTGAATGTAGTTAATGCCACAGAACTGTATACTTAAAAATAATTAAAATGATACCTTTTGTTATGCATTGTACCACATTTAAAAAATAATAAAAAGAACATATGTAGCATGCTACATTTTATGTAAGATAAAAGAAAAAAATAGGAGAATACGCATATATCTGCATATATTTACTGAAATAATTACAGAAATGTATTAGGGCTCTCCAGAGAAGCAGAATCAACAGAACATACCTGGATATATGTATATATATATATTTTTTTTGAGACGGAGTTACACTCTTGTTGTCCAAGATGGAGTGCAATGGCATGATCTTGGCTCACCTCCATCTCCACCTCCACCTCCACCTCCACCTCCTGGGTTCAAGTGATTCTCCTGCCTCAGCCTCCCAAGTAGCTGGGATTACAGGTATGCGCCACCACACCAGGCTAATTTTGTATTTTAGTAGAGATGGGGTTTCTCCATGTTGGTCAGGCTGGTCTCGAACTCCAGACCTCAGGTGATCCACCCGCCTTGGCCTCCCGAAATGCTGGGATTACAGGTGTAAGCCACGGCGCCCAGCCTATATCTGGATATTTAAGAGGAGATTTATTATGGGAATTGGCTCATGCAGTTTTGGAGGTTAAGTCCCATAATATGCGTCTGAAAGCTGGAGAACCAGGGAAGCCAGAGGGGTAGTTAAGTCTGAGTGAGGCTGAAGGCCTGGGAACTAGGGGAGAAGATAGTGTAACTTTCAATCTAAGCCAAAGGGCTGGGAGGCAGAAGGAGGCTGGGGTGCAGGTGCGACACATATCCGCTGATGAGAGACTCTGGTCTGAGTCCGAAGGGCCAATACTAGGAGTTCCAATGTCCAAGAATAGAATAAAGATCTTCCAACTCAAGAAGACTGAATTCATGCCTTCTCCACCTTTTTGTTCTATCTGTGCCCTCAGTGGATTGTGTAGTATCACCCCCATTGATGAGGGCAACTTTTCTTAGTCTGCTATTCAAATGCAAATTTCTTCTGGAAATATCTTCACACATGTACCCAGCATAACGTTTTACCAGCTATCTGGCAATCCCTTAGCGCAGTCAAGTTGACGCAAAAAATTAACCATCACGAGAAAGAATAACCCAGAAAACGAGCTGATTAACTATGAGAAGTGGGGAGAAGGAGGTAGAAGGAACATCATACATCTTCAAAAGTTAAAGTTAATGTTATATGTATTCAAAAGTAAAATTAAATCTATAGGAATGATGAAGGGAAAAACAACATTTCAAGCAGGCTAAAACAAATGAACCTAATTGCATTTCAAATGAATACTGTCCTTACAGGGAAACTGGGGGAAAGGGAGGGAAGGAAGAGGACAGGAAGGAGACATAGGAATCAAACCAAGCAAAATATTAATCTGGGCAAAAGTGTACAGTTAGGATTTTTGTACATGATTTCTTTTTGAATATTTTTATTAATCCAAAGTATTTTCCCAATTAGAAAGGTAAAAAAGAAAAAAAATTAAAAAGACCAACAACTAAAACAAAACAATGCTGCCGAGACCTGGCTTCTGCTCTTGCTCTCAGCCTGGGGTTTCGCCTGGCAGCAGGGCTGCTTTGTGTTTGAAACCCTAGCAAGGCTTCTCTGATGAGACCTGCCCACATTGCTACTGCAGGAGACCTCCACTTTTAGCAATGGCTGTTATTACAGAACAATGCCTGGAGACATTTAGACTTCTAGAAATTTTGTTGTCTTTCTTTTGACAACTCAGCTCTCACTCTAAGAACAAGTGAGGCAAAGATTAGGAAACAAAGAAAATAAAAAGAAAGCAAGAAAAAACAATCCACATACTTTCTTGAGTTTTTGCTCCATTTGTCTGCATAGCTTGCATCATTCACATGTCCAAATCAAAGTTACTTTAACTCAAAATAAATCAGTGAGTGATTTATGATTGTTTTTGCATACAGAAAGAAACAAAGCAATGTTTTTCCAAAATATGTCTTGTTTTCACTTTGTTCCACAATGCATTATGGTAATATTGCAATATGTCTTAAGATAATACCTACATTTTGAGCACCTATTTTGAAAACTTTATGTCACTTAATCTTCAGAATCACCCTATACTTTATGTATTAGTATTGTTATCCCATTTTATAGATAAAGAAATGGAAGCTAAAATATACCAACTACTTATTCAAGGTCAAAAGCAAAACCAGGATTGTCTCATTTGGAAGACTACACCTTCATCTACTGCACGATTTTCCCTTCCAACCATTTTAGTTAAAAGAAAAGAACAATGTCTCACTAACTCAAACCAGTTTCCACTTCTATGGTACATTCTAGTTCTTTTGATTTGGGACATTCTGCATTTTTATCTAGATTTTGGTTCACAGAATTGCTCCCAAATAAAATTTTAAAATATTAACATTGTTTAGTTAAACAGAGTGAGATTAAAAGTGGATATAGAGTTTCACCAGTGGAGAAAACAATGTTTATCATTGTAGGCTTCTATTTTCTACTTCTTTCTTTCTGCCAGTGTGTGAATGCGTGGAGACACACACACACAATTGACCCACGGCTTGGCTCAGTGTCATTTAGACTCCTTTCTTCCACAAAGATCATCCTGTTAAAATCAGAACTGAAGGTCTGCACGAGCCCAATTTCAAACTGACAGAAAATAATGGGCTCCTTTGCACACCCATTAAATAAGAGCAAATATATGAAAACAGAGTGTCTTGAATTTTATAGGTGGTGGATAATCGTGAGTTGATCCCTGTGATCTTCTCCTGGTAGTTTCTGTACTTGGATGATGGTCAAGTTCTGATAATATTCTGATGACAGAAGAATGGGTTTTGAGCCTGCAAATTCGCCCACCCACATTGCCCCTCTCATCTACAGGAACCTTCCATGCTTTTTCCAAAATTGTGTCCCAAATAAAGAACAGTAAAAAAAAAAAAGCGTTTGTTTTTTATTTTGTTTTTTGTTTTTAAGGACATCCAAATATTTTATCCAGGAATCATAATCACCATCAGTGCAATTAGGTATATATTTAAGCTTCTGGCTGTGATAAATGACATCTGAGGTCATTTCAAGATGAGTCATTCCAAGTTGCCTGCAAATACAAATCTCAAGGTGCCACCTGGAAGGGCTGTGCTGTCCAAACTGAGAGATGTAGTTTTAAAAGGCCAGCCAAGCTCCCATTTATTAATGAATCCACGCATCCGTGGATCTCCACAGGGGAATAAGTCACACAGAGCATTCCACCAGCTAGGCTGCTCAGCCAGGAGAACATTTTACTTAGAATTATGGATGCTAGGCTTTCACTGAACAGTTAGAAAATGTACCAAAAGTGTCATGTGTCTCTAATAGAGCAGAGGAGCAGCTGCTCCTCTTGGAAAGGGACCCTGGCTTTCCAGTTAACCAGTAGTCGCCACTCAGTATTGTCTCACACAAGCTCACTTCACTCATTGTTGTGTGTCACCTTCCTGGCTCATGGGGGCATTTGACCTATATTTCAATGCCTTACAAAACTCTGATGAACAAACAGATTCCAGAAACACATATTTAGCACAGTATTTGCTAGGCATTCTGAGAAATAATAAAAAAGACCCTGCTCCCATGTAACAGGAAAGAAAGGTGACATATATACATTACAGCAATAGAAGATAAAAGTCAAAAAGAATGGCAAGAGAGACACAAAATTATTGGAAAACATTTTTTTCACTAGAGAGGAATATTGGGAAAAGATTCATGCATGCAGTGCCATGCAAGTCAGGCTCTGAAAGAGACACAGATTTGGAGATGCAAGGAGAGAGAATAGATGCACAGACTGGAGGAAACAATCATGGAAACAATGATGAGGGTTGCTCAGGAAATAGTGAGATGCTGCAGCTTTCAGAGACACAGTATATGGGAGAGACTGAAGGAAGGCAAGAGGGGGAAGCTGAGTTGGAACTGATGGTGAAGATCATGAAATGCCACGCCAGTAGGTCCAATCTTATTCCATATGCATTGGGGGAACCTTGAGCTGGGTGTGACATGATCTGAGCTCTGTCTTAGAAAGGATTTTGTGGCAGAGAGGAGAGTAATTTAAAGGGAGACACAGATGGCCCAGAAAGAATGATTAGGAGATGATATTAGTTTCTTATCACTGCTATACAAATGACCACAACCACAGTGGCTTAAAACACATTTATTGCTCTATCATGCTGGAGGTCAGAATTCTCAAAATGAAGGTGTCAGCAAGACAGCATCCCCACCAGGGCTCTAGGAGAGAAATCCTTTTCCTGCCTCTTCCGACTTCTAGAGGCTGCCTGCACTCCTTGGCTCGGAGTAGAGTCCTCCATCTTCAAGGCCAAAAGAGTCAAATGTCTCCCTCTCTTCCTCTTTCTCCCTATCCCTTCCTTTCACCTCTGCACCCACTGTCACATATTTGTCTTGTTCTCATACTCCCGTCTCCTTCTTTTGATTATATTTAGTACTTGCTTGGATAATCCATAATAATTTCCCCATCTCGAAATCCTTACCTCCAGCACACCTGCAAAGTCTCTTGTGCCAGGAGACAGGTCCCATGGATTAGGACGTAGATACTGTTGGGGACCAAAGATTCTGTCTACCAGAGACAAAAGCCACAGACCAGAAGGAGGCAGTGCTATCTGCAGTAAGGCAAAAAGAGTACACACAGGGATGGGGCTCAGCCCCACTGCCTCCTTTCCCTCTGTTCTGTACCTAGGGGTACACAGAGGAGATGAGGGCTCACAGTTGTGTGTACTGAATCCAAAAGGATTCTTGTTAAAAATAGCAGGAACGCCACTCGAATGCCTTCAGCAAAAAGTGGTAATTAATCAACTATTAATCAGCTCACAGTTGATTAATGAATTAATCAGAATGAATCAGTTGTCACTGGGAAGACCAGGGTTAGTGCACCCCTTGGTTCCTCGATTAGATTATCAGTGAGCTTGTCTCCTCTCTCAGTGTGTCTTTCCTTGTATGGGCTTCATTCTCAAGCAAACCCTCTCCATTGGTGATGTTTAGGAGCTCCACATCTACACTGACACAGCTCCATCACCCCAATAGAGAGGTGCCACATTCTTCCCAACAATCCCAATAGAAGGCTCCTGCTGAGCCTCATTGGGTAAACTTAGGGCATGTTCCCATCTCTGACCTAATTGGTCTTAGCAGGAGAGAATTTACTGACTGGTCAGGTCTGTCACAGGCTCACTCCTAAAGCAGGGAGGTGGGGAAGAATCACCCACTATTTACAGACACTGCTTAGAGGAGGAAAGACATTCTTAGTAGAACATTATGGTGGTATCATCAGAAGAGGAAAGGAAAGGAAGCCATAAACAGCAGATATCTACTTACTGGACAACAGAAGAAACAAAACAAGATAAAGCACTTCCCAAGGGTTCTTTTCTGGGTGCTGAATTCTAATTCTCTTCCACCTGTCTGTGCCTAAATAGAGAGGGGAGCCTCAGGCACATCAGGTGGTCTTGTGCCTGCATCCCACTGCCTTGTTTGGGATTACAGTTTCCTGTTAGCCTATTTTATTTAATTATCTCAGTTCATATGCTTTCAGCAGGAGTTTAAAATAAATTTACAACAGAGCACTTTCATTCCAGCCAAGCCACAAGGCCTGCTGACAACTCTTTAATTGAAAAAGTGTTTTCAATTTTCAAAGAGACCTGGGATTATATTGAAAAATGATCCTGCTCTTCTGTCATTGCCATTACACTGTATCACCAGACAGGTCCATAAACACTGATTTGACGTTAGAAATGTTTGATAATGTTGGCCAGGAGCTACATTATTCATACACAAACAAATACATACTTATATCAATAATGTATACAAATAGATTTCTTCCTCTAAATTATATTTAGTGACTTAGTAGTTGGTCCATAAGACACATTCGGTCATAAAAAAATTTTAATGTTGCTGCTAAGGATGTGAGGACACGGTTAGGTCAACAATGGTGTGCCCATTAAATGACATATTTTTCAGCAGTTAAAAAGCCACTTCCAAAAGCTTACCAGAAAATGTTTCTGAGCTATATTTTATACTTAAAATGCTGATAAATATGAAAATATATGTATTAATATATCACAAGGCTCAAAGTTAAAATGTTGAAAAGGATTTACAATGAACATTGTTCTACCATTCCTGTCATTCGGCTCCCTAGTTCCTCGCCCAAACAATTGTTTCCTTTTTTTGTGTGTCCTAACAATGTGTTTACATAAGCAGATATATTTATATATGTGTGTATTTATGGGTACATACATTTATATATGTATGTGTATTTGTATGTTATAAAATTATATTTACATAGACAGGTGACCTTAAAACAACACACAGCTATGCACTGTGCAGGTCCACTTACAAGTGAGTTTTTTTCCATAAACATATTACAAAATGATCTGGAGATTTTCAGCAATCTGGAAAAACTCAGAAACCACGTCACCAATAAATAGCAAAACAAAATAAGAAAAAGTTAGGTACGTCATGAATGCATAAAATATACATAGATACCAGTCTATTTATGTGTTAATCAACTGTTGATGTTATCAGTAAGGCTTTTGGTCAACAGAAGGCTGTTGGTAGTTAGGTTTTGAAAGAGTTGAAAATTATGTGCGGATTTACTGCCATGTGGGGAGTTGGTGCTTCTGACCCCTACATTGGTCAAGGGTCACCTGCATCAGTATGAGTAGTTGCATGTGTGTGCATTCTGAAACACTATGGTAATAGAAGAAAAGGAAAGTGTGGAAGAGCAGATATGATAGGTTCCAATTTGTGTGAAAGAGGAAAAATCTAAATATATGTAGGTTTGTAGATATAGTTGCTATTTAGAAGGACATAAAGTAATGGAATAAGAGAGAAAAAATAATTTGAGCTGTTTACATTTTGCAGTTTTTTTAAATGTCTGTTACATGCACATATAAAAGTTTAATGAAAAATCTATTTTTCAAGGCTTTGATATTCATGACATTTCTTCCACTTATAAACAGTGTCTTTCTCTTTCCTAGAGTCTGGCTGGCCTGGAACGTGCCATGACTGTACAATATGATAGGAGGGAGACTGTACCAGCTCCAAGCCAGCTTTTCTGATACCTGCAGCTTCTGATTCCTCTGGAGGAGAAGTCAGCTACTAGGTAAGAAGTCAACTCACACTGAGGCCGCCATGCAGGGAGGAAGCCTAAGCCAGCCCAGTGGGGAGGCCATGTGGTGGACAACTGAGGAACCCAGTGGACAGGGCAAATTGAGACCCCAGACATGAAACCAGCTGAGTCATCCCAGTCCTTTGTATGATTGCAGCCACGGCTCCCATTATTGTGGCTCAGAGATGATCCATATCCCCTCTCCCCTGAGCAAATTCTCATCCAAAGAATCATGAGGAACTAAAATGGTTGTTCTTTCATGTTACTATGTTTAGAGGTGGTTTGTTCCATTACAATAGACAGCTGAAGCAAGCATGCAGAACCTTACTTTCCAGAAATGGAGAAGGACAGTGGAGGGTTTGTGTGGATGAGAAGCAAACACAAATATTTCTTTCCCTTTGTGGCTGAGAAGTATTGCAGGTGCAGTTTTAAAAGCCCCATGGATAAACAGCTCATGTAGGTCCAGGTCCAGGCTTTGAATGCACTACAGTTCCCTTGTTGGAAGCACCAGCCTCAAAGCGAATAAAGCAAATGTATTGATCACCCTGTATGCCACTGAGTGACATGGAAGGTTTTAACAAGAGACCATCTCCTCTACCTCACTGTGAACTGAAGAAAGACAAACCACAACTCCTTGGAACTTCATTTTCCCCTAGTATGGAGACATTCTTATCCTGGGACAACTCCACTGTCTTATTGAAAGCATCAAATAAGATAACTCTGGGTGAAAGTGTTTTATACACTGTAAAGTGTCGTACAGACCTGGTGACTTTCTAGATCCTATTTTGAAGAAAAAACAATTATTCAGACCTTGAATTACAGCAGAACTAAGAAATAGGAGGTAGGCTGGCATAAGACCTAAGATTGTGTGTGTGCAGAGCAACGGTCTGGGCTGACACCTTGGCTCTTCTATTTATTTCCTGCATGGCCTGAAGAATGTGACTTTATTTCTCTGTACCTTACTTTGCTTATCTATAAAATAAGGATGATAATACCCACCTCTCATCATGCCATAAAACTTACATAAGCAAATACCTGTGAAGTGCTTCAAACAATGCCTGGCACATAGCAATTGTGCTGCTATTTTAACTATAATAATAATTTAAGGCTTTCAATATCTTTATGGTCCTCCAAACACTTTGTTCTGACAACAGAGTGGTTGTCATAAAATTTAAAACTTGGAATGACCTTACTATTGATTAATCTAACCCAACCCTCTCCCGGTATCATCAATAGCCTCATCAATCGCCCCTCATGCTTGCACATTTTCTGAAATGGGAACTCACTGTCTCCCTGGTAGCCTCTATCCTTGTTGTGGGGCTCTGATAATTTGCTTCAAGTAAGTGTCCAACACTGAAGTTGCTGAGTCAGACGGCATATTCACTTACAAGCCTTTCAATTCTAATTCCCAATGTGTCCTTAAGAAAGGTGATATTCATATACAGTACTACTCATAAAGTGCCCAATTCAACACAACCTGAAGCAAGGAGAGTTGGATTAAAAGCCACTTTCTAATTTGATCAACAGAACAATAACTATTCTTCTTTCCTATTTTATATTCATTATAGTACTAATGAAACTAAGTATTTTTTCTCAAATATTTACTGCCTTACTTTTTCCATTTTGACTTGCCTGTTAATGTCCTTTATCTATTTATTTGATGCATTTGCTTTTACCTTGATTAATTTATAGATTCCCTGTCTTAAGCATACTCGTTCTTTGTTAAAAAGTTTGAAAATAGTTTTCCCAACATGTCATTTAAATTTTAGTTTTGATTTTGGTCTAATGTGATAAACAGATATTTTAAACTGTTTTGTAGCTAAGTTATTTTTTATGGTTTATTCTTTAGCTTGTATGATACAGAAGCCTTCCTTGCCTATACATCACATCAATATTCACTTCTGGGTTTCTCTCTGCTCATTATAGGGGATTTCATTTTGACATGACAACTAATGCATTTTGTGGCACTAAAGCCCATAAGGTTATCCTTCTCTCATTCCATTAAGACCAGGGGGTCTTTATTGCTTCACAAAGGAAGGGCAGTTAAAAGGGAAATAAGACACGGAAATATGGGAGTGTGTGTCGCTGAGAAGGGTCCCGCTTTCAGCCTTCTATCTTCCCTCAACAATCCTGAGCCTTTACCTGGTATGTCCCAGGACAGAAACAGAGTCCTGCTGTCTTTCCCAGGGAATGTCATGGAGGGGTGCCAAGGCTTCAATAATTTGTTCTAAAAATGGCTTTGGAGAAAGATGTCATGATGTGTTTTTAGCTAGTTGCGCCTGAGACAGCTACAGACTTTAATCTCATCAAGTGCAGTGACTGGAGCAGCCAAATATTTTTCATAAGAAAAATGGGCAAGAAATGACTGCAAGAAAGCCCAGGAGGTATATGCTTTCTCATCAGGGCAAAGACTGAATCCTCAGCACTGTCTAAGCTGTCACATAATACATAGACATAAGTCCTGGACCATTACCAGAGAGAGACACAGAGATGACTGAGAAAACTTAAAATAAAAAAAAAAAGATTAAAAGAGCCCCATCAGGTCAATACCTAGATGTCGGCCTTGTGAGACTGAACAGAGAACCTCGTCATGTCTGCCTGGACTTCTGGCCCCCAGAACCACGAGCTCATAAATTGTAAGCCTCCAAATTTACGGTAAGATCTTAGACAGTATAGAAAACTAATATATAAGTTATTTTATAATGGCTTGACAAGTTGAGGAAGCATTTGCTGTACATCTCACATGAGCTACTTTAGTAGAGCAATACACAGCACTGTCTGATCTCTCTCTCTCTTTTTCAAACACACACACACACACATAATTGATGCAATGCGTGTGTGATGTAACTCCATTATAGGAAAAGAAGGTCTACCTATTTAGAAGCAAGCCTACCCAGAATCCAGATGTTGATTTTTAATACCATTCTCCCATGAAAAGAACCACAGTTTCCTGGGAAAATGACTGATTCTAGGACTGAGACAGAGAATATGTAAAATGAGGCTGGAGCATCTTGTTGTGCCAGAACGTAAGGAAGTGCTCAAAAGAAAAAAAAAATCATTGTTGGGGGTATGCAAAGGTACAAACTGAAAGCGTTCTCAGCAGCCAGTGCTAGACAAATTCATGCAACAAAATAAATAAAATACTTTTGGGTAACCCAAAGTACAAAGAAAATATTCATGAGACATCTTGACATAAATGCTTAAATCAATCAATAGAAGAGAAGAAACAAGTCTCTTGTGTAGAATAATTCCAGGTAATTTATGTAGATTGTCTGCCCTCAAGGAGGTTCAGCATAACTCATCAGTCCTTCAGTGAGGACTGGACCTAAATAACCATAGCCATGGTGACATGTCAGGACAGTTAGTTCTTTTTCATCCTCATTTAGCAAGAGCCCAAATTGTTCTCATCTGTTTCCCATGGCTTCATGGAGTAAAAAAATAAAATTCTAAATATGAGTTTCTTCTCTGCCGTCACTATTAGCATCACTAGTACATACCCTATATGCAATGCTTCAAAGAGGGTTTTTCCCTGTGAGCTTCTGTGGTAGGGAATTTCATTCTCACCATTTTACGATCCAGGAAAGTAAGGTGTGGTTAGAGACACTCGTTGCAAGGTAACTCAGATATTAAGTAGTTGACTTGTGGTTTTCTGGTGGAGGGAAGACCTACCTGTCCCCAGTCCCTCCACACATTGGTTAGGATGCTGAGACCAGTGTTGAGATTGTTGATCCAAAAATGCACATAAAATGTATGTAACAGTTTATTAGTCACAACTGGGACTTTTGGGGACAGCAGGATTGTTCCTAGTACCAATGGAGCCCATGGCTTGAGTGGAGCAGAGGGTGGGGGATAGAGGGTGGGGGATAGAGGGAGGGGAATAGAGGGTGGGGGGTGGAGGGGGATAGAGGGTGGGGGATAGAGGGAGGGGGATAGATGGTGGGGGATAGAGGTAGGGGGATAGAGCATGGGGGATAAAGGGTGGGGGATAGAGGGAGGGGGATAGAGGGAGGAGGATAGAGGGTGGGGGATAGAGGGAGGGGGATAGAGGGTGGGGGGATAGAGGGAGGGGGATAGAGGGTGGGGGATAGAGGGAGGGGGATAGAGGGTGGGGGATAGAGGGAGGGGGATAGAGGGTGGGGGATAGAGCATGGAGGATAGAGGGTGGAGGATAGAGGGAGGGGGATAGAGGGTGGCAGATAGAGGGTGGGGGGATAGAGGGTGTGGGATAGAGCATGGGGGATAGAGGGTGGGGGATAGAGGGAGGGGATAGAGGGGGGGACAGAGGGAGGGGGATAGAGGGTGGGGGATAGAGGGAGGGGGATAGAGGTAGGGGGATAGAGCGTTGGGGATAGAGGGTAGGGGATAGAGGGAGGGGGATAGAGGGAGGGGGATAGAGGGTGGGGGATGGAGGGGGGATAGAGGGTGGGGGATAGAGGGTGGGGGATGGAGGGGGATAGAGGGAGGGGATAAAGGGTGGGGGATAGAGGGAGGGGATAGAGGGAGGGGGATAGAGGGTGGGGGATAGAGGTAGGGGGATAGAGCATGGGGGATAGAGGGTGGGGGATAGAGGGGGGGACAGAGGGTGGGGGATAGAGGGTGGGGGATAGAGGGTGGGGGATAGAGGGAGGGGGATAGAGGGTGGGGGATGGAGGGGGATAGAGGGAGGGGATAAAGGGTGGGGGATAGAGGGAGGGGATAGAGGGAGGGGGATAGAGGGTGGGGGATAGAGGGAGGGGGATAGAGGGAGGGGATAGAGGGAGGGGGATAGAGGGTGGGGGATAGAGGTAGGGGGATAGAGTGTGGGGGATAGAGGGTGGGGGATAGAGGGGGGGACAGAGGGTGGGGGATAGAGGGAAGGGGGATAGAGGGTGGGGGATAGAGGGTGGGGGATAGAGGGAGGGGGATAGAGGGTGGGGGATAGAGGGAGGGGATAGAGGGTGGGGGGATAGAGGGAGGGGGATAGAGGGTGGGGGATAGAGGGAGGGGGATAGAGGGTGGGGGATAGAGGGTGGGGGATAGAGGGAGGGGGATAGAGGGTGGGGGATAGAGGGAGGGGGATAGAGGGTGGGGGATAGAGCATGGAGGATAGAGGGTGGAGGATAGAGGGAGGGGGATAGAGGGTGGCAGATAGAGGGTGGGGGGATAGAGGGTGGGGGATAGAGGGTGGGGGATAGAAGGTGGGGGATAGAGGGAGGGGATAGAGGGGGGGACAGAGGGAGGGGGGATAGAGGGTGGGGGATAGAGGGAGGGGGATAGAGGGTGGGGGATGGAGGGGATAGAGGGTGGGGATAGAGGGTGGGGGATAGAGGGTGGGGGATAGAGGGAGGGGGATAGAGGTAGGGGGATAGAGCGTTGGGGATAGAGGGTAGGGGATAGAGGGAGGGGGATAGAGGGTGGGGGATGGAGGGGGGATAGAGGGTGGGGGATAAAGGGAGGGGGATAGAGGGAGGGGATAGAGGGAGGGGGATAGAGGGTGGGTGATAGAGGTAGGGGGATAGAGCGTGGGGGATAGAGGGTGGGGGATAGAGGGGGGGACAGAGGGTGGGGGATAGAGGGAGGGGGGATAGAGGGTGGGGGATAGAGGGTGGGGGATAGAGGGTGGGGGATAGAGGGAGGGGGATAGAGGGTGGGGGATAGAGGGAGGGGATAGAGGGAGGGGATAGAGGGAGGGGGATAGAGGGTGGGGGATAGAGGGTGGGGGATAGAGGGAGGGCAGCCTTGCCTCTGATTGCTAATGGGAGGCAGGCTGGGGTGGGCTCCAGTGCACAAGTCCTGGCTTGCATGGCTCAACTCCCTACAGTGCTGAGGGAGGCGATGCTGGACTTTCTTACCAGGACAGGTGAGGGTGGGGGCTTGAAAGGGGTCAGGGGCCAACCATTAAAAATGGAATCAGACTCTGTATCACAGCAGTGATGTAGAATATTAAACTCAGCTCTCAGGACACCAAAACCACTAGGGGGTTTCTACCCCACAGCAGCTGCCATATACAACACGGTCATGGAGACACACACAGACCATATGCAGGCAACAGCTTGCATTTTGAATATTACTCACCACTGTGAGTCCTGGGCTGCATCACTCCTCACTGGTGAGCCTGTCTCCTAGGCACTCTGGGGATGATCAAAGTACCTGTATTGTAGGACTGTCCTGAGAAGTAAATGAGAGATGCTTAACTTAGAGCCTGCTGTGTTGTAAATGCATAAACATGGAACTCAGTTAATCATCATTCACTCAACAGCATCGGTCTATCTTCCTGCCCACAGGGTTCTGCATCCAACCTCAGGCAAAGGTGCAAGTCATGGGGGTTTCCCAGTGAGTGGAATGGCCTGATGGGCGTGTCATCTCTACTCCTCCATGGCTGGGAAATGTGGATGAGTCATTTGCTTAGCAGGACTTTACTGAGCACTTTGTGTTTTTGTTTTGTTTTGTTTTTGTAATTGTGTGTGCTAGGCACTGTTCTAGGTGCCACAGACACAGCATGAAACAAGATAGGCAAGATTCCTGCCTTGGGCAGTGTACATCCCAGTGGGATGAGTCAGTGATGCCCATATTCACAAATGAATAAGCAAGGTGGCTTAAAACAATATCAGTTTGCTGTCTTATACTTTTAGAGGTCAGAGTCTAGAAATTAGTCTGTGTGGCTGAAATCAAGCTATCAGCAGGGCTGTGTTCCTGTTGGAGGCTCCAGGGGAGCATCTACTCCTGGCTCTGTGTTCCTGTCGGAGGCTCCAGGGGAGAGCGTACTCCTGGCTGTGTTTTCCAGTTTCCAGAGGCCACCTGCAGTCCTTTCCTTAGGTCCCTCTGCCAGCACTCCTGACACTCTAACCTCTGCTATTGTGGTCACCTCTCCTCTGACTCTGACCCTCAGTCCTTCTCCTTATTAGAAAACATGATTACACAGGACTCACACAGATAATCCTGGGTGATCTCCCAATTCAAGGCACTGAATCACATCTGCAAAGTCCCTTTTACAAAATAACATGTTCAACAGCTCCAGGGACTAGCCTATGGACATTTTTAGGAGCCCTACTACACTTGCATATTGCAAAACTTTGTATATTAAACCTATGAAAAATGAGTTCAAATCAAAATCACACATCCAAATGGCCTACAATCTCCAGGAAGATCAGATACATGGGTCAAAAGGAAGAGGCATAGCAATGGAAATTTATATTAATTTGCTCAAACTGACATAACAAAGCTCCACAGACTGGGTGGCTTAAACAGCATAAATGCATTTCCTCACAGTTCTGGAGGCTGGAAGTCTGAGATCAAGGTGTCTGTAGGGTGACTTTCTTCTGAGGCCTCTCTCCTTGGCTTGTAGGTGGCCGTCTTCTCCCTGTGTCCCCACATAGTCTACTCAGTGTCTGTATCCTAATCTCCTTTTTTTTTCTTTTTTCTTTTTCTTTTCTTTTCTTTTTTTGTTTTTTGTGATGGAGTCTCACTCTGTTGCTCGGTCTGATGTGCAGTGGTGCAATCTTGGCTCACTACAATCTCCGCCTCCCAGGTTCAAGTGATTCTCCTGCCTCAGCTTCCAGAGTTCACAGGCACCTGTCATCACATCCAGCTACTTTTTTTTTTTTTTTTTAGTAGAGATAGGGGTTTCACCACATTGGCCAGGCTGGTCTCAAACTCCTGACCTCAGGTGATCCGCTGGCCTCAGCCTCCCAAACTGCTAGGGTTACAGGTGTGAGCCACCGTGTCTGGCCTAATCTCCATTTCTTATAAAGGCACCAGTCAGATTGGATTAGGACCTGCCATAACAACCTCATTTTTATTAAATTACCACTTCTCTAAAGACCCTCTCTTCAAATACAGTTATATTCTGAGGTCCTGAAGGTGAGAAGTTGAACATACGTATTATGAGCACACACAATCCAGCTCATGACAGAACCCAGAGCAGCAGAGTGGGCTGCAGTGACAGGAGGAGGAACTGATCTGTCTAAGGGGGCGACAGCTCCAGCCAGTGGTCACCCCATAGAAATGTGGGCTTCTGAGACATAATAGTCTCCTGGATTTTCAACAGAAGTCCAATGAAAGTTTTCATTTTGTTTGTTTTTGTGTATGTTCTTGCTTACTGTTTAAATAAGCCATCCTGGGTTAGCAACCTGCATACCCAGACTCTCTCTTATCCCTCTGGACACGCTGTGGGAGAAGAGAGGGGGCTTCTTTTCTCCTGCTTTGTCTCCCCTCCCTTCCATCCAGGTTGGTGATGAGTTGTAGAGGGAGAAGATAGAAGATGCAAGAAAGAGGCTACCTGCCTAGGACTGGCATGAGATGGTGCAGGTGCTCTCTGGGCAGGGCACATGTTGAAAGCAGCTGTTTTTGCAAAACATCCCCATACAAAAAAAGGAGTAGAGGCCACCACCCTTGACTCGTCCAGCTCCTACACTGGACTTTGACTTCCATGAGGGCTGCATAGAGGCTGACTTTTGACTCTAACCCCTGGGATGGGCACAAGGCCAAGCCACAGACAGAAGTCAGTAGATACCTGTTAAATTTATGAATAAGTCAAAGAAATGCCTTGGAAAGAGAAAGATGTTCTATCAGGAAATAACCCCCTGAGAAATCTTGCAGGTCTGCACGTGCGCTGAGGCTGAGGGGCCTCTGGGACTTCAGTCAAGGCACCCAGATGAGTCGGTGGCACCCTCTGCCTGCTCTATCTTGATGACAATGAGAGGGATGATCTCAGTTTCCTCTCTGAGCAAGAGAAACACAGATTTTAAAGGATCCAGCAATCTGTGTTGAGAAACTACTTACAAATGACTTGTTTTCATTGGTCTGTATAGGAGTATCAAAAGCTCTTCAATTTCTTCAATAATTTCATCAGAATCCACTAATGAGATAGCTGAACCAAGATATGGGAATTGCAATCAACAAAATCAGGGAAAAGGAAAAGCTCTTTGATTTACTCACATTTGTTCCTTCCTTTTTCTGCAGTCTTATTTGAATGGGGACAGCTAGCTAATGACTATTCCAATTCTGCCAAAACCTGAGAACGATGCCAAAATTCAACTGACAAAATATTAACAAGATACAACTCTAAGGAAAGGTTGGCAATACAATTACATGCACAAAGAGTAAACAAATGCTAGCCTTTCTCTCTAATTGTCGCATGAGAAGACATTCCATGGTTTCAGGCACATAAGAGCTACTTCAGGAATCAAAGGCTCACTAAGGAAGAGCGGGGATTTGTGATGTAATAGGAAACATTTCCAAGCCTTCATTACAGAGCAAGGGAAAACTGAGATTCCTCAAGCATCATGAAACGAGATCTTCCCCGAGTCTAAGAGGAGCCCACTAGAGAGGCATTATAGGCGTTTATGCCTCTCTAGGATGCCAGGCAGGCTTCAGGCTGTAACCCTGGAGGCTGGTGAGGAACCTACAAAAACAGGAGCCCTCAGAGCTGGGGCCAGCTCCTTCCCCATGACTTCCTCCAGGTAAACCCTCTGTGCACCTAAGGCCTGAAAGGCTCACAACAGGGTTAAAATAAAAGCTGTCTTTTAGTGACAGGGTTGAATCTTCAAATGCCTGGTGTGCACAAAACATACACAAACTTATTTGCAAGTAAGCAAAAGTTAGCATCAACAGCCACTGCAGCACCCCGACACAGTACAATAAAGAATATTTGTGCTTCTGAAACAAAGGTGGGAAGTGGATTTCCTGGAATAATAAATTAGTTACTGCATGTTCATCCAGAGAACCAGACCCACCAAGAGCCATTGGCTGCAGGTCTAAGCATTCTTTGGATCTATTTATTTTAATTCAAATGAAATCTATCTTTTTTATTTTAAAAATAGCATTGGAGTCACAGGAGAAAATAAGAAAGGTTTCTCCTACAAGTGAAGTTTACTATTCATTTCTACCTCTTTTTCTGTCTAAAGTGTTGATGCTGCCCTCATGGAAGTCAAAGTTGAGTGAAGGAACTGGATGAGTCTACGTTGGTGGCCTCATCTAATCTTAGCCATTTAGGAATACAGGTGATTAAAGGCAGCTTCCCTGCTGGGCGCGGTGGCTCATGCCTGTAATCCCAGCACTTTGGAAGGCCGAGGCGGGTGGATCACAAGGTCAGGAGACCAAGACCATCCTGGCCAACATGGTGAAACCCTGTCTCTACTAAAAATACAAAAATTAGCAGGGCGTAGTGGTGCATGCCTGTAATCCCAGCTACTCAGTAGGCTGCGGCGGGAGAATCGTTTGAACTTGGCAGGCAGAGGTTGCAGTGAGCCGAGATTGCGTCACTGCGCTCCAGCCTGGCGACAGAGTGAGACACAGTTTCAAAGAAAAAAAAAAAAAGCAGCTTCCCGCTTCCCTTTCCTCAGCTCAGAGGCGGATCAATGTACAAGAACAAATAAAATATGGAAAGACAGATACAGTTTTTATTATTTTCTGGGGAAAAGTCCAATCTCTAGGCTCATAGAGTCAGTGTTTCCATAGCCAACCAAGGATGGCCAGTCCTGGGGGCTGTACCTAATTAGCATAGGATGTCCGGCTGCTGTTGACCACCAAGGTCTCAGAACAGAGCAGCCCTACTGGAGAGGCAGAGAATAGAGAGAGGATGAAGTTATGGGCAGGTAAGTAGCATATTCTTTTTTCTCTGAAGGGGACCAGATAAAATTGCTTGAACTTTACTAACTAAATGTTTTATGATACAGAAAATAGGCAGATTTTTTTTTCTCAATAAGAGCCAGGTGTTACTTAAGATGGTTGTCTTTACTGAATGGAAGGGAAAGAGAGAGAGAGAGAGGGAGAGAGAGAGAGAGAGACGTGAAAGAATGCAAATCCCTAATAGATCATCATATGCACTCATTTTATCTCCAGTTGTCTGTATTTTGTGGCGATTATTAAAGTTTCTCTGTATTCCTAATGCCCTTTTGTGAATTGTTAATACAATATTACTAAATCACTTTTCTCTATTATTATTATTATTTTTTTTTTGAAATGGAGTCTCACTCGGTCACCCAGGCCAGAGTGCAGTGGTGCAATCTTGGCTCACTGCAACCTCTGCCTCCTGTGTTTAAGCAATTCCTGGCCTCAGCCTCCAGAGTAGCCGGGATTACAGGCACCTGCCACACCACCCAGCTAATTTTTGTACTTTTAGTAGAGATGGGGTTTTGCCATGTCAGCCAGGCTGGTCTCGAACTCCTGACCTCAAGTGATCTGCCCACCTCAGTCTCCCAAAGCGTTGGGCTTACAGGCGTGAGTCACCGTGGCTGGCTAAATCATCCTTCTATTTAAATAAAGGCATGGCCCTAGAATCTATTTATCTCCGCTCATTTCCAGTTAAAACCGTGCGCTGAAGCCTCGGCCCCTCCCTCTTGTGTGGGCCATGGTTTGCTGAGGTTTGTATTTATGCATTTCAGAAATCTCTGCAGGCTGCTGGAATCATTATCTCTGGGGGTTCAGAAATTCCAAATGCACTGATCTTCTTCTGCAATACTACAGCAATGACTTGCCCTTACAGTCTTCTCCATCTTTGTAATGTCAGCTAAGTCAATAGATTTAAAAAGAAATTGAAAATGCCGTCATTGGTGCCAATTGCCACGAAGAGCAGGCTTCAGTGTGGCTTTGTAAAGAAGTAATGAAGGTGGGAGGGGGGGGATTTTGTTCCCTGGTGGATGTTTTTATTTTGTTTTGTTTTCTCTCTCTCAGTTCGAACATTCTACAGACACAAGTAACATAAATTCCAGTTCCACATGTTTTAACTGAAAAAGGAAAAACAGCTACTAGAGGTTGTTGTTTGTTGACTCACATCACTGAAAAGACCAGGGTCTGAACTGGCTCACCTCAGGCTTGCCTAGAACCTGGGCTTCGTGACTCAGTTTTACTCCCTCTCTTCATTCCATCTTCTGCTGGGCTGGGTGAGTCCATTTGATGTAGCCTTATAGATTCAGGACATACCATCCACTTTTAACATTTTAAACAGAAAAGAAATCATCTCTCTCTCGTGGCTCCAGAAAAAAAATACCCAGATTCACTCTGCTTAGACCAATCTGGGCCCATCCAGCGATAATATCTGTGACTGTGGGAACCATCTGACTAGTCATATCTGGGTTCCATGATCCATCCCTGAGTCTGGACGTAGAGACCACCTGAATCACATGGACTGAGAATAGGGGAGAAGTCTTCACTCCATAAAATCGGGTGCCTCTTACCACACACACAAAATGTAGAGGGATGGGTGTTTGCAAATATAAGTATTTGCAACCAGTCGAATTTAATTTAAATCACTGAATTGTAGAAACAAACAGTGTCTGCAGGCTATAATTATCTTTTGGCCTTCTAATTTGCAGCATGTGACTAAAATACCATTTATTGTTAGATCTTTAGGTTATCCCCAATTTTACACTATTATAAACAATGTGGATGTGAAAATATTTGAACTGAAGTTCTTGAAAACAATATGTGATTAATTCCTTAGGGTAAATGTCAATAACTGAGACTTCTGTTAAAGGTAATCTATTTTCCAAAGTTTTTGATATGTGTTGTAAAAATGTCTTAGAAAACACTTGAAATAACTCAGGACCTCACTAGCAGCATATGTGGGTGTTGGTCTCTTGATATATTTCACACTTTTTACTATGATTGTATTTCTACATATGTATTAATGTAACTAATGTATAGTAATTTTGTCATCAAAATTCACACATATTTGATTTTTGGTAAGCTTGAACATCTTTCATTTCTGTAGTGCTTGTTTATGTTTCTTCTTTAGTCAATTATCCATTCTTGTTATTTGTTCATTTGTCTCTTTTTCATTTGTTTGGATTCTTTATATGTCAAAGGTATTATCAAAGGTTCCAATTCTACACCTTATTTTTTAAAAATCTAAAAAATAATTTGAATACAAGTTTAGCTTTTAATCACATGAGCCACAGTATTTCTGAAAATGATTCTGAGCTTTAAAATATATGTCATCCCAGTCTAAAATGAAAGTACACTCTTTGATAAGAGGTATATGATTAAAATTCCAGGTATAATACATCCTACTTAAATAACAGCCTGTTTCCCAATATACATACCACAAAAGTGTGTTCTTAGAAGCCCTTTAATCAAATGCTTATTGTTTTCTAAGTTTAACTTCACATATATTTCCCATCAATAAAGTGTAATTTTACCTGTGATTAGTACCACTAAATCTGACCTCATGCTGTTCCTACCCTTGTACTTAGTAGTCTCATGATACCAAACGAAATGTAATTAAACAACTTAACACATGGAAGAAAAGTTAAAATAGTCTATGACATACAGTAACACATAAGTGACTTATGTGATAATCATGTCCCTACATACTATAATTTTTCAAATGTTTGTTCTTGCTCACACATCTTCAACCTGAAATTCCTCTTCCATTCCTTTTGCCAGTGTCATTATCTCTTCTGAAAACTTTTTGTGAACCTCTTTGCTGGCTAAGTCCACCTCTTCTGTGTTTCCTAACACTCTATGCAGACCTCTATTGTAGCACTGGACATCGTATATCTAAATTACTTATGTATTACTCAGTCTCTTAAAATATGAACTCCTTGAGGAAGGGGAATGTCTCTTATTTAAACCTGAATTTTCAGGGTTTTACACAGTCTCTGTCACATAGTAGCAACTAAATATATGCCTTACCTGCAAGAATAAGAAAACAACTGTTCTAAAATCCCTGATATTTTATTTTATTTTATTTTTTGAGATGGAGTTTCGCTCCGTCTTCGCCCAGGCTACAGTGCATTGGTGTGATCTCGGCTCACTGCAGCCTCCACCTCCTGGGTTCAAGCTATTCTCCTGCCTCAGCTTCCCGAGCAGCCAGGATTACAGGCATGCACCACCACGCCCAGCTAATTTTGTATTTTACTAGAGATGGGGTTTCACCATGTTGGTCAGGCTGGTCTCAAACTCCTGACTTCAGGTGATCGGCTGGCCTCGGCCTCCCAAAGTGCTGGGATTACAGGATATTTTATTTTACTTAGAAGTAAAAGGCTAAAGAAGGAGTCATTTTTTTTTGTTTTAATTTAAGACGTGTGAAATGTCAGACTCTAGCTCCAGCTATATTTACAGTTCAGCCACCATTCATAAAAGTAGAAGGACTTATGAAATATGCATCTCCCACGTGGTCATAATTCATCACTCCTCACAGAGGGAGCTGTGTTCCTCCCTGGGGCTGGGAGTAATGCCATTCTGAAATGTGCAGGCTATTTTAAGACTGGGACCTTTACTTTTCTCACCTCAGTCACAGGCTCTGGCTCAGAAATCCTATTTTTGGCTCCCCCTGCCTGCACACTTTTCATGCCTGTATTGGATAGAATGCGCTCTGTGACTTGGGGAAAGTCAGTACGAGGCATTCCTCATTAGAGGAATTAATGCCAGTTGCTGAAAAAGGGAACTCCTGAGACCTTATTGCCTTAAGGCAGTGAAATTTTACTTCTCCTGTAAGTCCGGCATGGTCAGGCCACTCCTTTCATTGCAGCAAGTGAAACAATGATCCACAGGAGGCGCACCCGCCCTTACCTGCCTCAGCCAGGATTGCCGCAAATCAATCATGCTGAGTCCACAGGTGAGGAATAGCCAGATGGCCCCAACTTACTACCAGAGGACCCCGGGAAGCGTAGGGGAATACCTGGGTATATGTAGCACACGTTTGGTCTTTGTTACACAGCATCAAGCTTTCCACTATTATCACAACTCATTTTAACACCTAGATAGAAACAAATTTCTGCCTGAAAAGGGTCTGATACCTTGCAATTTTCTTACTTCTATAGCACATTCAGGCTGCAGCACAGAAACTCCTGACCTTCACGTTATATCACTATAATTATTTTAAACATGGTAAGTTAAGAAAAACAAATGAACAAACAAAAAGCTTTGTGAGAAAACACAGACAGATACAGCAAGTGGCTTTCATTTCCTGAACCTATTTTCTAATTATGATTCTGATTTTCCTTTTCTTTTTTTGATAGTTTAAAGTTTATTGTTCTTTCTATAAACCTTTTAATTTCAAACTGTTTTAGATTTACAGAAAATTGGATGATACAGTTTTCCCATACACTCTTACTCTACTACATCTTCCATTATCATGATATGCTTACCACAATGAATGACAAAATACAAGTATATTGTCATTAAATGAAGTCCATTCTCTCTTCAGATTTCCTCAGTCTTTCCCTAATATCCTTTTCATGTTCCACTATTCTATCCAGAATATCACATTAGTTATGTCTCCTTAGGCTTCTCTTGCCTGTAACAATTTCTCAGACTTTTCTTTTCTTTTTTATTTGATAACCTTTACACTTTTAAGAAATTCTGATACCAGTACCATGCTGTTTTGGTTACTGTAGCCCTGTAGTATAGTTTGAAGTTGGTTAGCATGATGCCTCCAGCTTTGTTCTTTTTGCTTAGGATTGCATTGGCTATTTGGGCTCTTTTATAGTTCATCATGAATTTTAAAATACTTTTCTCTAGTTCTAAATCATTATATTATAAAGACACCTGCACAGTTATGTTCATTGCAGCACTATTTGCAATAGCAAAGACATGGAATCAACCTAAATGCCCATCGATGACAGGCTGGATAAAGAAAATGTGGCACATATACACCATGGAATACTATGCAGCCATAAACAAGAATGAGATCATGTCCTTTGCAGGGACATGGACGGAGCTGGAGGCCATTATCCTTAGCAGACTGACACAGGAACAGAACACCAAATCCTGCATGCTCTCACTTATAAGTGGGAGCTAAATGATAAGAGCACATGGACAAATAGAGGGAAACAACACACACTGGGGCCTATCAGAGGGTGGAAGGTGGGAGGACGAGGAGGATAAGGAAAAATAACTAATGGGTACTAGGCTTAATACCTGGGTGATAATATAATCTGTAGAACAAACCCCCAGGACACATGTTTTCCTATGCATCAAACCTGCACAATGTGCCCCTGAACTTAAAATACAAGTTAACCAACAAAAAAGAAATTCTGGTATTCCTTAAATGATCAGGTAGTCTGTGAAATGTCCCTCCATTGAGATACACCTGGTGTTTTTCTTGTGAATAGACAGGAGTGATGTGTTTGGGGGAGAAAGACCACACAGTCAAGTGCCATTCTTGTCATATCATATCAAGGGTATATATCATCATGTGACTTTATCACTACTGATGTTATTAAACTTGATCCTTTGGCTAAGTAGTGCTTGTTGTGATTCTCCACTGTACAATTACTTTCCCTCTGATTTCCATACTTTTCTCTTTGGAAGGACGTTACTATGCATAGTCCAAAGCTTAAGGAGCAGTAAGTTATACTCACTTCTTGAAGATTGGCTATCTACATAAATGACATGGAATGCCTCTGCACAGATTTGTCCATTCTCTCCCAGTTATGTCAGTGTTCACTCCTGGATGTTAATTTCATATTTGGGTTATAATACTATTTCATTTATTTCTTTGCTCATATTGTCCCAGGCTTGGCCCTTGGGAGCCCTCAGCTGGCTCTCCATCATGTTGACATCACAATTTTTTTTTTTTAAGCTCTTCGTTACTTACTTGTACTATGAGATGCTCCAGGATCATCTTATGTATTTCCTACCCTGGTCATAAAGTCAGACATTTCTCCAAAGATACTAGGTTCTGTTATTTATATGATGTAAGAAACCAACATTGGGGCTGTAGTGTGCTCATTCATATTGGGGTGTTCTTTCTATTTCCTCTGAGCTGACAGAGCAAAGAAATATATATGCATATACTAACCCACATGCATGCATCTATGAATATATCCACATGCTACCTTACACAGATATATCTATGTTGAAGTAAATATTATTTCATATGGATGCTCTCAGCTCTAATCTATTATTATATAGATCATCACACCCTCCTTCCTTGTTCAGCTGTAAGTTCTTAATGTGAAAAACCTGGACCCCACTGTATACAGTCCATTTACATATTTATTTCCAGAATACATGTTAGAGTGGTTTTACAATTGTCAACATCAACCCATGTGAAAAACAGTTCTATCAAATAAAGTACAATGTTTCTGTGCAGTACATTTTGTTGAGTTTTAAAGACTCCACTAAACTTCCAAAGTAATTTAGGTCAGTAACCCCCATCCCTGAAGCTTCAGAGAAGTTGTTTCATGTATTTGTAATATGGTTCAATTTTTTGGCACGTTCTGCATTTCATCCTGTGATTTCCTGCACTCCTAATATTTTCTGATTTGTATACATTCACTCCTTGTGCTTTTATCAGTATGTAATGTTGCTCTTTAGCAATGACAATATTTCTTGTTCTGAAGTCTGCTTTTCCTGAAATTAATGTAGATACTACAGCTTTCTTTTGATTGTTGTTATCATGGTATGCCTTTCTCCATCTCTTTACTTTTCTGATTCTCTATATTTAAAGTAGATTTCTTATAGGTAATATATAGTCAAATCTTGTTTGTTTATAGACTGTTTATAACAGTCTCTGTCTTTTAATTGGTATAATTTGACCATTCACACTCATATATATATAAATATTACATGTTTGTTACTGTTTACTATTCCTTTGTTCTTTTTTTCTTTTCCGTTTCCTTCTGCCTTTTCTGGTTTTGTCTTTATTTTTACTTTTTAATTCTATATGCTAATTAGTGTTCTTTTTCTTTGTTTCTTCTAAAAAAATGGGATACATGTGCAGATCCTGCAGGTTTGTTACATAGGTATACGTGTGCCATGGTGGTTTGCTGCACCTATTGACCTGTCCTCTAAGTTCCCTCCCCTCACCCCTCACTCCCCAACAGGCCCTGGTGTGTGTTATTCCCCTCTCTGTGTCCATGTGTTCTCAATGTTCAACTCCCACTTATGAATAAGAACATGTGGTTTTTGGTTTTCTGTTCCTGTGTTAGTTTGCTGAGGATGTTGGGTTCCAGCTTCATCCATGTCCCTTCAAAGGACACGATCTCATTCCTTTTTATGACTGCATACTATTTCATGGTGTATATTTACCACATTTTCTTTATCCAGTCTATCATTGATGGGCATTTGGGTTGGTTCCATGTCTTTCCTATTGTAAACAGTGCTGCAGTAAACATATGTGTGCATGTGTCTTTATAGCAGAATGATTTATATTCCACTGGGCATATACCCAGTAATGGGATTGCTGGGTCAAATGATATTTCTGGTTCTAGATCCTTGAGGAATCACCATCCTGTCTTCCACAATGGTTGAACTAATTTACATTCCCACCAACAGTGTAAAAGCATTCCTGTTTCTCCACAGCCTCACCAGCATCTATTGTTTCCTGACTTCTTAATAATCACAAGTATTCCTTAATAATCGCCATTCTGACTGGCATGAGATGGTATCTCATTGAGGTTTTGATTTGAATTTTCCTGATGATCAGCGATGTTTAACTTTTTTAATAAGTTTTTTGGTCGCATAAATGTCTTCTTTTGAGAAGTGTCTGTTCATATCCTTTGATGGGGTTGTTTGTTTTTTTCCTGTAAATATGTTTATGTTCCTTGTAAATTCTGGATATTAGATTTTGGTCAGATGGTTAGATTGCAAAAATTTTCTCCCAATCTGTAGGTTGCTAGTTCATTCTGATGATAATTTCTTTTGCTGTGAGGAAGCTCTTTAGTTTAATTATATTCCATTTGTCAATTTTGACTTTTGTTGCAAATGCTTTTGGCATTTTTGTCATGAAGCCTTTGCCCATGCCTATGTCCTGAATGGTATTGCCTAGGTTTTCTTCTAGGGTTTTTATGGTTTGGGGTTTAACATGTAAGTCTCTAATCCATCTTGAGTAAATTTTTGTATAAGGTGTAAGGAAGGGTTCCAGTTTCTGTTTTCTGCATATGGCTAGCCTGTTTTCCCAGCACCATTTACTGAATAGGAGATCCTTTCCCCATTGCTTGTTTTTGTCCAGTTTGTTGAAGATCAGATGGTTTTAGATGTGTGGTGTTATTTCTGAAATCTCTGTTCTGCTCCATTGGTCTATGTGTCTATTTTGGTACCAGTACCATGCTGTTTTGCTTACTGTAGACTTGTAGTATAGTTTGAAGTCAGGTAGCATGATGCCTCCAGGTTTTTTTTTTTTTTTTGCTTCAGATTGTCTTGGCTGTACAAGGTCTTCTTTGATTCCATGTGAATTTTAAAATAGTTTTGTTTCTAATTCTCTGAAGAATGTCAATGGTAGTTTGATAAGAATAGCTTTGAATCTATAAATTATTTTGGCCAGTATGGCCATTTTCACAATATTGATTCTTCCCATCCTTGAGGATGGAATGTTTTTCCATTTATTTGTGTCCTCTCTTATTTCCTTGAGCAGTGGTTTGTAGTTCTCTTTGAAGAGGCCTTTCACATCCCCTGTTAGCTGTATTCCTAGGTATTTTTTCTCTTTTTAGCAATTGTGAATGGGAGTTCATTCATGATTTGGCTCTCTCCTTGCCTATTGTTGGTGTAAAGGAATGCTTGTGATTTTTACACATTGATTTTGTATCCTGAGATTTTGCTGAAGTTGTTTATCAGTTCAAGAAGTTTTTGGGCTGAGATGACAGGGTTTTCTAAATATAAAATCATGTCATCTGCAAAAAAGACAACTTGACTTCCTCTCTTTCTGTTTGAATACCCTTTATTTCTGTCTCTTACCTGATTTCCCTGGCCAGAACTTCCAATACTATGTTGAATAGGAGTGGTGAGAGAGGGCATCCTTGTCTTCTACTGGTTTTCAAAGAGAATGCTTTCAGCTTTTGCCCATTGAATTTGATATTTGCTGTGGGTTTGTCATAAATAGCTCTTATTATTTGGAAATATGTTCCATCAATACCTAGTTTATTGAGAGTATTAAACATGAAGGGATGTTGAATTTTATCAAAGGCCTTTTCTGCATCTATTGGGAAAATCTTGTGATTTTTGTCTTTGGTTCTGCTTATATGATGGATTACGTTTATTGATTTGTTTATGTTACGTTTATTGATTTGTTTATGTTGAACAGCCTTGTATCCCAGGGATGAAGCTGACTTGATCATGGGGGATAAGTTTTTTGATGTGCTGCTGGATTCAGTTTGCCAGTATTTTATTGAGGACTTTTGCATGGATGTTCATCAGGGATATTGGCCTGAAGTTTTCTTTTTCTGTTGTGTTTCTGCCAGGTTTTGGTGTCAGGATGTTGCTTGCTTCATAAAATGAGTTGGGAGGAGTCCCTCCTTTTCAACTGTTTGAAATAGTTTCAGAAGGAATGGTACCAGCTCCTTTCTGTATTTCTGGTAAAATTCAGCTGTGAATCCGTCTGGTCCTGAGCTTTTTCTGGTTGGTAGGCTATTAATTACTGCCTCAATTTCAGACCTTGTTATTGGCCTATTCAGGGACTCCATTTCTTCCTGGTTTAGTCTTGGTAGGATGTATGTGTCCAGGAATTTATCCATTTCTTCTAGATTTTCTAGTTTATTTGCGTAGAGGTGTTTATATTATTCTCTGATAGTAGTTTGTGTTTCTGTGGGGCCAGTGGTGATATCCCCTTTATCATTTTTTATTGTGTCTATTTGATTCTTTTCTCTCTTCTTTATTAGTCTAGCTAGTAGTCTATCTATTATGCTAACTTTTTCAAAAACCCAGCTCCTGGATTCATTAATTTTTAGAGGGTTTTTCATGTCTCTATCTCCTTCAATTCTTCTCTGATCTTAGGTATTTCTTGTCTTCTGCTAGTTTTTGGATTCGTTTGTTCTTTGCTGTCTAGCTCTTTTAATTGTGATGTTAGAGTGTTGATTTGAGAAGTTTCTAGTTTTCTAATGTGGGCATTTAGTGCTATAAATTTCCTTCTTAACACTGCTTTAGCTGTGTCCCAGAGATTCTGGTACATTGTCTCTTTGTTCTCATTGGTTTCAAAGAACTTGTTGATTTTTGCCTTAATTTCATTATTTACCCAGGAGTCATTCAGGAGCGGGTTGTTCAATTTCCCTGAAATTGTATTGTTTTGAGGGAATTTCTTAATCCTGAGTTCTAATTTGATTGCACTGTGATCTGAGAGACTGTTTGTTATGATTTCAGGTCTTTTGCATTTGCTGAGGAGTGTTTTACTTCCAATTATGTGGTCAATTTTAGAATAAGTTCCATGTGGTACTGAGAAGAACATATATTCTGTTGATTTGGGGTACATAGTTCTGTAGACATCTACTAGGTCCACTTGATCCAGAGCTGAGTTCAAGTCCTGAATATCCTTGTTAACTTTCTGCCTCATTGATCTGTCTAATATTGACAGTGGGGTGTTAAGATCTCCCATTATTGTGTGGGAGTCTAAGTGTCTTTGTAGGTCTCTAAGAACTTGTTTTATGAATATGGGTGCTCTGGTATTGGGTGCATATATATTCAGAATAGTTAGCTCTTCTTATTGAATTGTTCCCTTTACTATTACGTAATGCCCTTCTTTGTCTTTTTTTATCTTTATTTGTTTAAAGTCTGTTTTGTCAGAGACTAGGATTGCAACCCCTGCTTTTTTTTGCTTTCCATTTGCTTGTTAAATTTTCCTTCCATCCCTTTATTTTGAGCCTGTGTGTGTCTTTGCATGTAAGATGGGTCTCCTGAATGCAGCACACCAATGGGTCTTGACTCCTTATCCAATTTGCCAGTCTGTGTCTTTTAATTGGGGCATTTAGCCCATTTACATTTAAGGTTAGCATTGTAATGTGTGAATCTGATCCTGTCATCATGATGCTAACTAGTTATTTTGCACACGAGTTGATGTAGTTTCTTCAGTGTCATTGGTCTTTATATTTTTGTGTGTTTTTGCAGTGGCTGGTATCGGTTTTTCCTTTCCATGTTTAGTGCTTCTTTCAAGAGCTCTTGCAGGACAGGCCTGGTGGTAACAAAATCCTTCAGGATTTTCTTGTCTGGAAAGGATTTTATTTCTCCTTCACTTATGAAGCTGACTTTGTCTAGATATGAAATTCTGGGTTGAAAACTCTTTCCTTTAAGAATGTTGAATATTGGCCCCCAATCTCTTCTGGCTTGTAGAGTTTCTGCAGAGAGGTCCATTGTTAGTCTGACGGGCTTCCCTTTGTGGGTGACCTGACCTTTCTCTCTGGCTGCCTTTAAGAGTTTTTCCTTCATTTTGACCTTGAAAAAATCTGATGATTATGTGTCTTGGGGTTGATCTTCTCCTGGAGAGTCTTAATGGTGTTCTCTGTATTTCCTGAATTTGCATGTTGGCCTGTCCTGCTAGGCTGGGGAAGTTCTCCTGGATAATATCCTGAAGTGTGTTTTCCAGCTTGTTTCCATTCTCCCTGTCTCCTTCTGGTACTCCAATCAATTGTAGGTTCAGTCTTTTTATGAAGTCCCATATTTCTTGGAGGCTTTGTTCATTCCTTTTCATTCTTTTTTTCTCTATTCTTGTCTGCATGTCTTATTTCAGTAAACGTGGTCTTCAAACTCTGATATTCTTTTTTCCACTTGGCCAGTTCAGCTGTTGATACTTCGGTATGCTTCACAAAGTTCTCTTGCTGTGTTTTTCAGCTTCATCAGGTCATTTATGTTCCTTTCTAAACTGGTTATTCTAGTTATCAATTCCTCTAATGTTTTATCAAGGTTCTTAGCTTCTTCATGTTGGGTTAGAACATGCTTGTTTAGCTCATAAAAAAAAAAAAAGCTCATCATAGTTTTTTATTACCCATCTTCTGAATCCTACTTCTGTCAATTCGTCCATCTGATTCTCTGTCCAGTTCTGTGCCCTTGATGGAGAGATGTTGGGATCATTTGGAGAAGAGGAGGCACTCTGGCCTTTTGAGTTTTCAGCATTTTTTCATTGATTCTTTCTCATCTTCATGAGTTTGTCTAGTTTTGGTTTTTGAGGCTGCTGACCCTTGGATGGGGTTTTTATGCGGGCCTTTTTGTTGTTGTTGTTGTTGTTGATGCTGTTGTTGTTCCTTTCTGCTTGTTTACTTTCTTTCAATAGTCAGGTCCCTCTTCTGTAGGGTGGCTGCAATTTGCTGGGGGTTCATTTCAGGTCTTATTCATCTGATTCGGTCCTGTGCCTGGAAATGCCACTCGACAAGGCTGGAGAGCAGCCAAGATGTTTTCCTCCTCCTTCTTCTGGGACCTCTGACCTCAAGGGGCACCAACCTGATGCCAGTAGGATTGCCCCTGTATGGGGTGTCTAACAACCCCTGCTGGAGGGTCTCACCCAGTTGGGTGACACAGGGAGCAGGACCCATTTAACAAAGCACTTTGTCCCTTGGTGGAGAGGGTGTGTTTCACTGGGGGAAGCCCACTTGTCTAGGCTGCCCAGATTCCTCAGAACTACCAAGAGGAGAGGCTAAGTCTGCTGATCTGCAGACTGTGGCCACCCCTCCCCCTGGGGGCTCAGGCCCAGGGAGATCCTCTGGCTGGAGTTATTGGAGATTCTGCAGGGAAGCCCCGCCCACTGAAGAAGGATGGGTCAGGGTTAGACCTGAAGAGGCACTCTGGCCACAGACTGGCACAGCCCATGCGTTGAGCTGTGGGACAAGTCTTGGGACCAAGCTGTCCAGCCTCCTTGGCTCCACCAGCAGAAAAACGCAGCCTGGAGCTATAGAAATGGGTGGCACCCTTCCCCTGCCCATGGAGCTTAGCTTGTTAGGCAGTTGCGAGTCCCAGTACTGGCTGCTGCCCCTCCCCCATGAGGCTAAAAGGCTTAGAGAGCAGGCAGCTGAAGCAGGTGCAAGTCGCCCCTCCCATTAGGAGTTCCTCAGGCTTAAGCAGATTCCAGCTGAGAGGATGTAAGAATCTGCGTGTTCCAGGGTTGGGAGGCTAGGCCCTGGTGGGGTGGGTTCGTGACTGGGATCTTCCGATCCGTGGGTTGCATACTTCCGTGGGATAAGCACAGTTTCCTAGGCTGGGTGGCATGCTCACTCACTGCGTCCCTTGGCTGGGGGTAGGGGGTTGCGGTGGCTCTCAGGTGGGCTGCCACACCACACCGATCTTCCTTCTCTCCGTGAGTCACGCCACCCTTCTAGTCAATTTTGATGAGAGAATCTGGATACCTTGGTTGCCAGTGAAGGATTCACACACTTATTATGTTTTTCTTTTCTTTTTTTTTTTTTTTTTTTGGAGCCTCTGAATGCATCTGCTTCTAGTTGGCCATCTTGGCCCTGCCCCTCCCCTTTTCTGGTGTTAATTGGGCATTTTATTTGATTCTATATTTTATTTGGTCTTAGTATGTGAATTATAGTTCTTTTTAATTTTTGTGTATGCTTGCCCTAGAGTTTGCAATATACATTCACAAATAATCGAAGTCCACCTTCAAATAGCATTATACTATTTCACATGTAGTACAGAAATCTTCCAATACAATATGACTGATTCATATGACATTACTGTTACTGACTTCACTTATCCAAAAACTATAATCACCCAATGTATTGTTAATATTGTTACTTTAACAGTTACCATTTAGTCCAATTACAAGAAAGAACAATAGTTTTATCTTTTTCTGATGATCTTTTTTTCCTTATGGAGATCTGAGTTTTTGACACTATTGCATTACTGTCACAAGACAAAATTACACTTCCACTTCATGAGCAATGCTTTTGTTCTAGATGTAACTTCTTGCCACCTTCATTACACAGAAGAGATATCTGCTTGCAAAACTTTACAGTTCAGAGAGGTTTTTGTGGTTAATATTTCAAAGCTACCCAGTGACAGACATAAAATTATGTACCTCATTTATCACTGTGAGAGCTTTGATTATATTTCCCAACCCCAGCTTCATGCCAAACTTTGCATCTGGAATTCACAGTTGCTACCTCTGTAAACCACTGCTTAGGATGCTATCTTGGTGCCCTCCACAGCATACAGGATCATGAATAACTATATATGCAAATTATAGTAGCATGAGGTAGAAAGGTCGTGGCAGTCTGAAAATAAATACTCAATGTGCAGAATCACCACCACCATCGCTATTCCAACCCCTCTCCTTCGAGTTACATTTTTCACTGTGGCTGCACCATCCTAAAATATTCTGTATTTATAACCAGTTCCCCTTTCAATTTAGGGGAAATGAGAATAGTATATTGTCCTCTCTAGGCAGCGATTTTGGGGAGATGTTTTCATGTGTTATAATCATTAGGACTGCTCATACATATTCTGGCTTTCTCTTATTTGGGGCACATGGTGGGATTCTACATTCTCTCCCATTTGAAGGTCAGTTTACATTTGTAACTTGTTTTGACCAGTGAAATATGTGCAAGGATGGTATCATTTCTGGACTGAAGCTTTAAGAGACAGTGCAAGTACTGCCAGTTCTCTCCTTTGTTCTATAATGTCTGACAGTCCTGAGATGAGAACAATGCAAAGTACAGCACTCCAGCTCCATTCGAAAGGCAGGTTGCATGAGTAAGATATAAGCCTCGCGTCTGTATCTCAAGTAGCACCCCCTCTAAAAATACGCTATCTGTTCACCTTAATTTACTTTTGGCTTTGTAGCAAAAAGTCACTATCTGAAATTATATTGTGTATTGATCTATTTTCGGGCTTACTGCCAGTCTGTCTAGAGATGAGAACTCTGTCTCTCCTATTCAAGACCATAACCCTGTTGCCTTGAACGATGCCTGAAGCACGGCAAGTGCTCGGTCAAGTTTCTCTGAAAAACAGAATTAATAAATGGCTTAAATTGGAAATCAGTTTTCACAAATAAACTAAAACTTGAAACTAAAACTTGATGAAGCCTTACTTTAGGCACCTTCATACAAATTACATGCAACAAAAACATTTCTTATGCACTTGCTATTCAGGGAATGCTTCCAGCTCACAGCTTTCCCTCTTTAGAATTCCCCATTAATTAGAAATGAAGGGCAATCTGTGATGGGAACGCTGATTTATCAGTAGGGTTTTCTCTCTCTCTCTCTGTCTCTCTCTCTCTCTCTCTATATATATATAGATATAGATATAGATATAGATATAGATATATAGCGAGTAGGTAAACAAGCAGGAGACTCTAAACAAAGCCATGGGCACAAATTACTGGGAAAAAAAGATACAAATGGAAGGAATGACACAGCCGGCTGCTTATGTTATCATCATTTCCCTGTCCCTTGCCTTTCCAGCAGAGTCAACTTTGAGCCCTGTTGCAATGGTTCTTCTTCTAAGAAAATGATGACACCCGGCTTTGTAAAAGAATTCTTTGCTCCCTGGAATGTGATGTACTGGAACAAGATGCATTTCCACGTCTGTAACAAAACAAAGAAAAACAAAAACACTTTTAGAGACTGTAAAATAATAAAATTATCAACTGCAACACCTCAGGGACGGCCCAGATGCTCCTATGGCCACGCACCTGCAGCAGGGACCTTCTCCCAGGTCGCCCCTACCGCCTGCCCAACTCGACCCCCGTCGTCTGCGCCTGCGCCCAGGCGCCTCTCACGCACCCCGGGCCCCCACCACCCTTTCCTGAGAACGTGAGCTTCGCCGTCTGCGCCTGCGCAAGGGAGCCCACCCGCTTCGCCGGAACTACCGCGGCACGAAGCCCCGCCCCCGCCCTCCTAGCCGTGGTCGCAGCCGTGTGCGCCTGCGCGCGGGATCCTCGCCGGCCTCGCTCTCTGCGCGGTCGGCGGCGCTGCAGGCGAGCACAGGACGATGACGAAGAGGACGGGGCTGCTGAGCGATCCCCAGCACCCAAGGACCTGGAGCCCCAGGTCGCAGCCTCAGGACCCGGAGGATGTGCCCAGCACCTCCAGGAGACGCGCGGACGAGGTCGTCGCCCCGCGGCTCGCCAATCAGGCGTAGTGTGGAGACAGGGCGGGGAGTACGCTGGCGGCCGTGTAGACCCGCAGCACGACACGGTGGACTCAGCCCGGGAGGGAGTCTAGCTGCGGGCCATGTCCAGCGTGGATTCCAGAACCCGCCGCCTAGAGTCGCGGGGCGTCCTGAGGGAGAACTGGCCCCTAGTGGGAGTTGGGCGCGTCCCTGGAACCTCCCCTCCTCGAGGGCTGGGAGTTAGCGGGAAGAAGAAGAGGCCGCGGGCACCATGATTCAGACCCGGAAACTACGCCTCCAGGCATGGCTAGGAGAAATGGGCTTCGGAGACCATGGCCACCCCTCTCCCTGCCTAGGAGCACGCCTGCCCCAGCACCCGGGCCTGAACGCAGCGAGAGCTCCAGAGCCTGCGAGTCCCAGAGGTCAGGATCCGTTCCTTCTGAGGTGTCCCTAGGAGCTCCCTGAACCTCAAGCCAAAGGCCAGGCTACGGTGGTCAAGTCCCCCAAGTAGGGGGTCTTTTAAAATACTTGGGTGGCTGGGACGGTGGCTCAAGCCTGTAATCCCAGCACTTTGGGAGGCCGAGGCGGGTGGATTGCTTGAGCTCAAGAATTCAAGACCAACGTGGGCAGCATAGCAAGACTCCCTACAAAAAAAATAATAATAAGATTTTATATATATATATATATATATATATATATGTACACACACAAACACGTACACAAAAAATAGCCGGGCATGGGGCTGCAGGCCTGTAGTACCAGTTACTGGGGAGGTTGAGATGGGAGGATTGATTGAGCCTAAGAAGTGGAGGCTACAGTGAGCCAAGATTGCATCACTGCATGCCAGCCTGGGCAACAGAGCAAGACCCTGTCTCAAGGGAGGAAAAAATAAAAAAATAAATAAAAATTTAAAAAAAGAACACTTGAAGTTACTCAGATCAGGACTCATGCAGAGAAAAGCCAACAGGAGCAACACCCCACATTAGGGGAGGAAGACACCTGGGGATTCACTGACTTCAGTTGTGTGAATTTTACCCTATGACCTTGCTTGCTTTATGAGACAGCAGAGGTGGCCAAGGTCAATCCTACTGCTCTGTGGTGAACTCTGCTTTTCTCTCGTTACCATAGGTAAAGGGTCATGCTCCTATGTAAGCCTTCCTGTTCCCCAGTCATTTGTGCACGGGGTAGGCCATCATCTCCTGCCTATTCAAGGGAATGACTAGTCCTGTCTTCTGTATCCTCAGTCACCAACTTCTCAGTTAGTGTTGGACCAAGCCTATGTTCAAAACATGACTGAGACAGACCTCAATCCATAGAGATTTATTTAGCCAAGGTCCAAGGACACATCTAGGAAAAAATACGGGATCACAGGAGCATCTGCGCCTTCTACTTTTTCCAAAGAGGGTTTTGGGAACTTCAGTATTTAAAGGGGAAACAGCAAGCAGGTGAGGAAAAAAAGCGAGGAAGTGTAGGCAATGACAGATGCTCACATTCTTGTGAAACTCTGTTTACCCTAGTAAATCTGCATTTTACATGTGAAAAGAGGGAGTAAAGGAAATAGTCAATAATGCATTCCTCTCAGGATAGGCCCACGTGGATTTTTAATCTTGTCCTTGCCCTGTGAAGATAAGCTGGTAACTGACATTGTCAGGGTGAGATTCAGCAGAACTCAGTTTTAGGACTAACTTACAGAGGAGCTGTGTATCCTGAAGATTCAGCGACTGGCAAGGAATTTCCTTGGGAGCAATGTGTGAGGGAGGCCATCTGAGGAGATCTGTGGCTTTCTTTTGTTGTGGGAATCTGGCTTATGGATGAATCTACGACACAGGATTGTGAAATTACAGCTCTTTGGGAACAAAAGGAAGGCAGTATTGCATGACTTAGTTTCCCAGCTTCACTTTCCCTTTGGCATGGTGAGTTTGGGGTCTTGAGAGTCTATTTTCTTTCACACCCATCAGCACTGTTAAGTAAGCAGGAAGACAACCTGAGGTTGTCTCTTTACTTTGAGTTCCTACATAATAAATTGCAGCCTAATTTAGTACATAAACCCAAACCTAATTTAGGAGTAAATTTTTTGTAGCAGATAGCCAGATTTCAGCCAATCACAGGCTTCCAGCTAACAAGACTATGCCCAAATAAGGCAAATGCCTCATCACATGATGCTCAAATAAGGCAGCCACCTAGGCGAGGCCAATCAGGTAACTTTTCTACTTTGCTTAATTGTTCAGCCTGTACAAATTTGCTGCTTATGACTGCTGAGCAGAGCTGTCTAAACCTCTTCTGGTTTGGAGTGCTGCCTTATATATGAATTGTTCTTTGGTCACATAAAATTGGTTAAATTTAACTTCTCTAAAGTTTTGTATTAAATTGTATGTAAAACATTGGTAGCACAATTTGGATTCAGATACCCAAATATTGACTATGATAATGTAAATAATCCTTAAGCAGACTGATTTACAAAGGCCTGAACAAGTTTGATATTCTGAATATTCACTTCTTCTGATGAAAAAATTGCCAAGACCTTACAATTGGCAGGAAAAAAAATGTGTGTTGGTTAAATAAGTTATGTTAACAACAAGAACATTACCACAATTAGAAAACTCTTACTATGCCAGGCACTATTATAAACACACCTTTGTACCTTTTTTAATCCTGAAAAATTTCTAATAAATATGCATTTAATATTATTTGTATTTAATATTAAGTGTATTTAATATTGCCCCTGTTTTGTGAATTAATGCAGCAATAAACTGGCTTGCAATGGTGATGTATTCTATAAGGCAGCCATTGTTGTCATAATGCTACATAACACTACCCGAATCTCAGTTGCTTATAATTCAAGTACTTATTTTTCTTGTCCATAATCTGTGAATCCTGCTGAAATCAGCTAGACTTTGCTCCAGGATGAGGGATTGGTCCAATTCTGTTCCATCTTTCCACGCATCTTTCATCAGGTTATTAGGAAAGAGTACACTTCACTGGCTGCTCTACTGGGAGGCTTTATCTCCATTAAGTGAACCACAGAGAAAAAAGAAGAGAAGAGTTTTACTTCTGTCATCTGGTGATACATTGCTTTGGTGAATACAAGAAACCACAGGATAAGCAACAGGGCTCTTTGGTAAATTCCACAGGCTCTCCTGATAGGGCAGCCAAGTCTTTTCCCAGTAGCCAGCCCTTTGCACTAAAACATGTGGATTTTATTTCTATGGATGTTGTGAGTGTGGACCTAAACTTCTCTAAGAGAACTTGTATTTCTCAAGCCTAAAGATGTATTACATTTTTTTGTATTTGTATTTGATCCACATAAAGAAGGGGAAAAAAATTTGTGTGTGTGGATAGCATTCCAAGAAGGAACTCTAGCCCCAGGAAAGCTGCTATTTCTGCTCTTCTCCAGCTACCTGCCAACAATTTGTCCTCAAAAGAGGCTCTTTCTGACTATTTACAGATCTGTCACTTACAGATTGGCAATTTTCATGCATTTCATTCTGCTTTGCTTTACTTCATACTGGCATCATCTTTATCAGAAGGATATATAAATATAGATATATGGATATCGTTTGTCTTCCCTTTCTCCACATTAACATATTCCATGAGTGCAGGAAGTGAAATGGCATCTTTATTTCATTACTCTCTGGTCCATAATACATTCCCTGGCACAAAGGGAACACTTAAATACTTAACTATCAAAATAAAAAAATAAATAAAATCACTGGATATGGAACATGCTCATTATTAAATGTTTTTCTAGCACTCTACCAGAAAACTATCAGCCACTGTTCCACCACGGTGCTTTCCCTCTCTTGCTTCTTGCACCTCCTCTGATGTTCTTCCTTTTTGTTAGTTCCAGTTCCACATCACAGTCACGCAAATGTAAGAGAATGGAGAATGCAGTCCTTTCTCAGCTGGGCACAAAGTAATGCTGAGTGAAACAGAAGTTGTTATTGTGGAAGAGGTAGGTGCCTGAACTGGGTGTCTCCTGATAACCTTTCTCCCCATTGCTCTGTGTCCCATATTCAGAGTAGACTCACCAAAGTTCTCCTTTGCTTTCTAGCTTCCAGTCGATTTTGAAAAATTCAGAGCATGGGCAAGACATAGCAGAAAAAGAAATTGTGATTGATTGGAGTATTTATTTTCCTGGCTTCCTCCATGTGGAGTTGCTAAAGACCGGCTGCATCTTTCAGCTGCAATCACAGCTCCTGCCTGGCAGCCTTCTCGGTCTCCAGGTTGTAGGAACCTCTTTGTCTTATCTTTCAGGCCTGTGGGTGGCAATAATGTTCTTTATTAGTACTAGCCTTAAGATTTCACCAATTATTCCAGCTGTTTACTGGAAACCACAAAAAGCACACTGACTGACATCGCCACTACGTGTCTTTCTTTTAGGGGCATAATAAAGTAGGAAACACATTTATTGTCCTCCAGAGAGGGCCTCCAAGTCAACTCTGCATGTCTGACTTGCCCCAACCATTTTATGGAGTGCACTGAAGTGTTTTAAGGTCCTGCTTCCCTTCCAGAACAGCACCTTCCTTAGAGTGACTTCTTAGTGCTCCTCAGGCTCAAAGCCAGACCATGAAGATGTCATATTTTCCCTAAAACTGAAAGCTCCTTGAATCAAGGGAACATGGATATTTGACTCAACTGCTCTAGTCTTGTAGCAGACAAGACGCTGCTTCCAGCTACAGATCTTGAGAAGGCTGCCTCGCACCTATTTAAAATAACATGAAAATCAGTAGCTCACATTGCAAAGCCGAAAGAAGGAAATCCTCCAACTTCAGTCACTTCAGCTGTTCAACCAAATCCTTAATACATAGGGCTCTTTTCATCTCTCTGTTCAGCTGTCCACTAGAACAGCAGTCCCCAACCATTTGGCACCAGGGACTGGTTTCATGGAAGATAATTTTTCCATAGACTGGGGCAGGTTGGGGGGATGGGTTCAGGATGATTCAAGTAAATTACATTTATTGCGCACTTTATTTCTATTATTATTATATTGTAATAAATAATGAAATAAGTATACCACTCACCGTCATATAGAATCAGTGGGAGCCCTGGTCTTGTTTTCCTGCACCTAGATGGTCCCATTTGGGAGAGATGGGATACCGTGATAGATCATCATGCATGAAGTTCTCATAAGGAGCGTTCAACCTAGATCCCTCACATATGCAGTTAACATTCAGGTTTGTGCCTACACTGCTCTGACAGGAGGTGGAACTCAGATGGTAATGCAAGTGATGGGGAGTGGCTGTAAATACAGATAAAGCTTCACTGGCTCACCTGCTGCTTACCTCCTGCTGTGTGTGGCCCGGTTCCTAATAGGCCACAGACCAGGGTTGGGGAGCCCTGCACTAGAAGTTTCATTTGATCTATGTGCTCACATCATCACAGAGAGTCAAAAAGACAGAGAAATAATCATTTCCCTAATCAAAAACTGTAAGGTCCCTTCCTTTAGTCTGATTGAGGCAACTCAGGACATGTGTTTACCCTTGGATCAAACATTGTCATCAACAGGATCCTGGGTTTATGCATCTTGGAGCTGGCAATTAGGTCAGCTTTTCTGAAGTACAAGGAAAAAGAGAAGAAATCTTAAATCAAATTAATGTTCTCTTGGGAATGAGAAAGGGATTTGTATGTTTGTTTTCCAGGAGATTATTTTATTCTTTTTCTTCTCAGCATCTTGCTTCACCTTCTTTCTCTCCTAACCTGGCTCTCCCACTCTGTGGTCCATGTTTCAGGACCCCGTATCTGACCAGTTTCCAACTCATCTTCACTTGGGAGTTGGCTGTGAAGAGACAGGCAAGTCTCTTCATCAAGCAGGAGGAAAACATACAGCGGGAAGGAAATATGAAACGACCTCATTTCTAGTTTAACCCTTTGGATCTCCTTTGTACCACGTCTCCTTGGATGAGAAGAGTCTCCCTCTCATCAGCACATTAAGGAATCTACCATACAACTTCAGTCTTCAGTATTGCCAAAGACTAGTAACCTATGCTCCAAGAGTTAATGACTATAAGTGCATCACTGAAGCCTGTAGAAAAAGGCCCTGATGCCTCCTGCCCTAATAATTTGTATGTGTTTATTTTTTTCCATTTGCAAGATAGAAAACAAACTGGTCTGGTTACAACTAACCATAGATTTGCACCAACTATTAGAAATGGATTTTTTTATCATCAGTTTTTTTTCATGTTGTGTTCATGCTCATCCCTCAGATATTTATGTTTCAGTCTTGGGTAATTTATTTCTATTTACTTTAAATTTCCTTATGAAATAGTTTCAATTATATCACAGGTTGTTATAAATAGTTGGTGTTAAATTATATAGAGGTATTACATTGCTACTTAATGCCTGCATTTGATGTGGTTATTACAATGGTGACGCTATAGATCACCGTAGCAACAAAAACAAGAATTCATAGCCTGTTTCAAACATAAGAGGCTGAAAATATTTCATAGTTATTGAAAGCTGAGGTATGAAGCAATTTAAACATTTAGCTGCTGAGTAATTGGGATCTAGAAATACATCAACCTAGATACTGAATTTTTAGAAGAGTCAATATTGAATAATAGCACAGGTCATTTACTTTTAATTGTCTAGCCATCTGAATGCTTGAGCATGTGAACAGTAACTTCACCCATGTAGCTTATTTATCTATGTTTCATAAACAGGCTACCTTCTGAGAGTTAATTGTGTGAACAGGAAAAGTCACTACCTAATAAATTGATGTTCACTTTTACTGATAAATTTCCATAAGCATTGCCCAGGGCAGTGTTATCTTTGTCTCTATGGTAACCAATGCTATAAAGAGATAAAAGAATCAAAAGAGGGAATATCACCAGTATCATACATAAAATATATGCCTAGAATTATAGGAGATACCAGAAGATTATGCATTTTGGGGGGGATTCTTGTTTGACAGGACACATAAATCACTTGTTGCTTTACTCATTCATAGAGCTAAAAATGTGAGATAGCACCTGTGTTCTCCTGCAAATATGTGTAAGACCAATTGATGACTATGTGCTTCAAGAAGCTTCTTTGTACCATGTCTCCCTAGATAGGACGGGCGCCCTCTCTGATCAGCATGTTAAGGAATCTACCCTAACAAAAGGTTTGAAAAAGTTGGTTGGATTGGCTACATGCATAACTCGGGATCAGTTCTCTTCATGCATCTGCTAATACTCATGGTTCCTGAAAAAGACTTGATATGCTTGCTCTTTGGAAGAGGGGATTAGCTTTGACCCTTCTTCCACAGCTGTTCCAGTTCTGTTCTTCCACAGCTGTTCCAGTTCTGCTCCCAACTTTTTGACAAACTTACATAAACTACCCAAGGTAAAGACGAAAACCCAGCCCAGTTCCTGGCTTGTTTGGCAGCAACCCTGAGGCTCTTTACAGCCCTAGACCCTGAAGGGCCAGAAGGCCGTCTTATTCTCAGTATGTATTTTATCACCCAGTCAGCTCTTGACATTAGAAAAAAGCTTCAAAAACTGGAATCTGGCCCTCAAACCCCACAACAGGAATTAATCAACTTCGCCTTCAAGGTGTACAATAATAGAGAGGAGGCAGCCAAGTGACAACACATTTCTGAGTTACAGTTACTTGCCTCTGTTCTGAGACAAAACCCAGCCAGACCTCCAGCACCCAAGAACTTCAAAACGCCTAAGCCGCAGTGGTCAGGCATTTCTACGGGACCTCCTCCATCAGGATCTTGCTTCAAGTGCCAGAAATCTGGCCACTGGGCCAAGGAATGCCCACTGCCCATGATTCCCCCGCAAGCCCTGTCCCATCTGTGCAGGGACCCACTGGAAATCCGACTGCCCAGCTCGCCCGGCAGCCACTCCTAGAGCCCCTAAAGCTCTGGCCCGAGGCTCTCTGACCGACTCCTTCCCAGATCTGCTCGGCTTAGTGGCTGAAGACTAACACTGCCCGATCACCTTGGAAGCCCCCTGGACCATCACAGACGCCGAGCCTCGGGAAACTCTCACAGTGGAGGGTAAGTCCATCCCCTGTTTAATCGATATGGAGGCTACCCACTCCACATTACCTTCTTTTCAAGGGCCTGTTTCCCTTGTCCCCATAACTGTTGTGGTATTGACAGTGAAGCTTCAAAACCTCTTAAAACTCCCCAACTTTGGTGCCAACTTGGACAACATTCTTTTTTGCACTCCTTTTTAGTTATCCCCACCTGCCCAGTTCCCTTATTAGGTCGAGACATTTTAACTAAATTATCCGCTTCCCTGACTATTCCTGGGCTACAGCCAAACCTCACTGCCACCCTTTTCCCCAGTTCAAAGCCTCCTTCACATCCCCCCCTTATGTCTCCCTACCTTAATCCACAAGTATGGGATACCTCTACGCCCTCCTTGGCAACCGATCATGCACCCCTTATCATCCCACTAAAACCTAATCACCCTTACCCTGCTCAGTGCCAATATGCCATCTCACAGCAGGCTTTAAAAAGGTCAAAGCCTGTTATCACCCACCTGTTACAACATGGCCTCTTAAAGCCTACAAACTCTCCTTACAACTCTCCTATCCTACTTGTCCAAAAACCAGACAAGTCTTACAGGCTGGTCCAGGATCTGTGCCTTATCAACCAAATTGCCTTGCCTATCCACCCAGTGGTGCCAAACCCATATACTCTCCTATTCTCAATGCCTCCCTCCACAACCCATTATTCTGTTATGGATCTCAAACATGCTTCCTTTACTGTTCCTTTGCACCCTTCATTCTAGGCTCTCTTCGCTTTCACTTGGACTGACTCTGACACCCATCAGTCTCAGCAACTTACCTGGGCTGTACTGCCACAAGGCTTCAGGGGCAGCCCCCATTACTTCAGTCAAACCCTTTCTCATGATTTACTTTCTTTCTGCCCATCTGCTTCTCGTCTTATTCGATATTTTCACGACCTTCTACTTTATAGCCCCTCCTACATATCTTCCCAACAAGACACTCTCCTGCTCCTCCAACATCTATTCACAAAGGGATATCACGTATCCCCCTCCAAAGCCCAAATTTCTTCCTCGTCCATTACGTATCTCAGCATAATTCTTCATAAAAACACACGTGCTCTCCCTGCTGATCATGTCTGGCTAATCTCCCAAACCCCAACCCCTTCTACAAAGCAACAACTCCTTTCCTTCCTAGGCACATTTAGGTACTTTTGCCTTTGGATATCCGGTTTTTCCATCCTGACTAAACCATTATATAAACTCACAAAAGAAAACCTAGCTGACCCCATGGATCCTAAATCCTTTCCCCACTCCTCTGTCCATTCCTTAAAAACAGCACTAGAACTACTCCCACACTAGCTCTCCCTAACTTATCCCAACCCTTTTTATTACACACAGCTGAAGTGCAGGGCTGTGTGGTCAGAATTCTTACACAAGAGCTGGGACTGCACCCTGTAGCCTTTCTGTCCAAACAACTTGACCTTACTGTTTTAGGCTGGCCCCCACATTATTCTTGATACCACACCTGACCCCCATGACTGTATGTCTCTGATCCACCTGACATTCACTTCATTTCCCCGTATTTCCTTCTTTCCTGTTCCTCACCCTGATCACACTTGGTTTATTGATGGCAGTTCCACCAGGCCTAATTGCACTCACCAGCAAAGGCAGGCTATGCTATAGTATCTTCCACATCTATCATTGAGGCTACCACTTTATCCCCCTCCACTACCTCTCAGCAAGCTGAACTCATTGCCTTAACTCGAGCCCTCACTCTTGCAAAAGGACTGTGTGTCAATATTTATACTGACTCTCAACATGCCTTCCATATCCTGCACCACCATGCTGTTATGTGGACAGAAAGAGGTTTTCTCACTACACAAGGGTCCTCTATCATTAATTCCTCTTTAATAAAAACTCTTCTCAAGGCCGCTTTACTTCCAAAGGAAGCTGGAGTCCTTCACTGCAAAGGCAATCAAAGGGCCTCAGACCCCACTGCTCAAGGTAACACTTATGCTGATAAGACGGCTAAAGAAGCAGCCAGTATTCCTACTTCTGTCCCTCATGGCCAGTTTTTCACCTTCTCGTCAGTCACTCCTACTTACTCTCCAACTGAAAATTCCTCCTTCCAGCCTGACAGGCTCATTCCATTCTATCATCCTTTCATAACCTCTTCCACGTGGGTTACAAGCCACTAGTCCACCACTTAGAACCTCTCATTTCCTTTAAGACATTTGCCCTGCATTTCACTCCATCCTTGGCTACCTTCCTCTTGTTCTTCAGACTGTCCTCCCAGCCCCCTTTCTTGTTTACTTATACCCAGCCCCATGAATAGCAATGAAAGGTTGCTTACAGACACTGTGCGCTTTCTCATACACCATAAAAATCAAATCTCCCCCTTTATCCAGTTGCCTCATCAATCCCCATTACAACCTCTAACGGCTGCTGCGCTTGCTAAATCCCTAAGAGTCTGGGTGCAAGACACCTCTTTTGCTGCTCCCTCTCATCTTTTCACTTTACATTTCCAGTTTTGCCTTAGAAAAGTCTCTTCTTCCTCTGTGGCTTCTCCACCTACATGTGTCTACCTATCAATTGCACAGGCACATGTACACGAGTTTTCCTTACCCCCAAAAATCAATTCGCAAACAGGACCGAACAGCTTCCTGTTCCCCTCATGACACCAACACTTCACTACTATTTTGTTTTGTTTTTCTTATTATTAATATAAGAAGACAGGAATAGGCCTCGACTTACTCACTGCTGAAAAAGGAGGACTCTGTATATTTTTAAATGAAGAGTGTTGTTTTTACCTAAATCAATCTGGCCTGGTATATGACAACATAAAAAAAAACTCAAGGATAGAGCCCAAAAACTCGCCAATCAAGTAAATAATTACTTTGAACCCCTTTGGGCACTCTTTAATTGGATGTCCTGGGTCCTCCCAATTCTTAGTCCTTTAATACCTGTTTTTTTTCCTTCTGTTATTTGGGCCTTGTGTCTTCAGTTTGGTTTCTCAATTTATACAAAACCGCATTCCGACCATCACCAATCATTCTATAAGACAAATGCTACTTTTAACAACCCCACAGTACCATCCTCTGCCCCAAGATCTCCCCACTACCTAAATTCCTATGCCTTGTAACTCATTATAAAATTTTCTTTAAGGTGTCCATGCAGTCCCTGGTCATGCTTGAAGCAGTCCCGAGAAACATCACCCCTACCCTAATAATCCCCAGTAAAACTTATATTTCTTTATCTTTTCTTATAACTTTATATTTTATAAGTAAAAAGACAGGAATGTCAGGCCTCTGAGCTGAAGCTCAGCCATTGTAACCCCTGTGACCTGCACATATATGTCCAGATGGCCTGCAGGAGCCAAGAAGTCTGAGGCAACCCAAAACTACAAAAAAAGTGAAACAGCCAGCTCCTGTCTTAACTGATTGACCAGCCTTATGACATTCCATTATAACTTGTTCCTGCCCTGCCCCAACTGATTGATCGACCTCATGACATTCTTCTTCTGGACAATGAGTCTTATGATCTCCCCACCATGCACCTTGTGACCCCCTCCTCTGCTGACAACAGATAACCACCTCTAACTGTAACTTTCCACTGCTTACCCCAGTCCTATAAAGCGGCCCCTCTCCTATCTCCCTTTGCTGACTCTCTTTTCAGACTCAGCCCACTTGCACCCAAGTGAAATAAACAGCCTTGTTGCTCACACAAAGCCTGTTGGTGGACTCTCTTAACACGGACTCGCGTGACACAATTAATTTAAAACTTAACAGTGGCGATTAACCAGTTTGCACAGAGAGAAAGAGACCAGAGACTGATGTAAGAAATTCTTACCCTTCTGCCTGCATGCCGGGTTTCTGGGTTCTCTCTCCCTGAGCACCCCTGGTGACCCTGCCTGACTGTATACAAACAAACACATTGCCATGAATCAAGAATATTCACAAACACTTTACAAATTTTGAAGAAACTAGGCAGAGAGAGAGATAAATATGACTCAAATTCTATTTGTGAGAGTACACTCAACACACTTCAAGTATCAGGAAACCTAAAATCCAAAGTTTGTTTAAAGATAAAAACCTGGTGTATTCCATTAATTCCTGTAGCCCAACAAAGGTAGCTTTAGGAATTCCAGATAAATGGAATGAATGACCACTTGCTAGAAATGCATAGGAAACAAAATAACTATTCACAGAACCAAATAAAAGCCTTCCACTAGCATGGGTTTATATTATATAGAGAGACACACAAGCAAACCAAAGGAGAATAACAGCAAACCAATGAAAACTAGAAGAGAAAACAAATAAACCAAAAAACAAACCTAAATTTTCATACTCAACTTACCCTGGAAACTACAGTGTTACCTAGGGCCCCCCAAAACCCATATAATGAACATTTTATTCCTGATATACAATTCAATATCCTTAAGTTCACCAATATCATTAGACATTCTGTGCAATCAAGAAATCCACTTCAGGCAGATGACCAATAAGTGCTCCAGCACTATTCACGGAAAATGGTGAACAGAGTGAAGTGATGCAAGCATGTGTGTGAACATTGGTTTTACGCTAAATTCAGCTTCATGCTTAACTATAGTAAAAAAAGAATTGCGAAACTGCCGATGCATTTTTACAATACTTCTTACCTTAATCAACACTAAGAGTTTTAACTATGAAAATGTTAATTAGCCAAATGTTTCCAATTCTTTATCATGTTTTGAGGAATATTTTATTATTTAAACTTTTTCCACTCCTTTCTCCCCTACTTAATGATTCCTTACTACACTGATTCATAAATAACCTTTTCAAATCTGTAATTTGAACTAACTTTTATACAACTTCAGAATTAGACAAAATTATTCTTTTTTCCACCAATAAGCCTTTCTGGCACATTTTGTATACAGAATTATGTGCTAACTAGAATTTTATATTTAGTAACCTAAAACTTTAGTGAAACCCTAAAAAGCAAACCCTGAACTATTAGATATGGGCATTTATAGACAGGAATAATTCCACAATTTTAGCAACATGCTTCTCCATATTACTACCCATTTTTAATTGGAAATGACCCAGATATCAAATGAGCATTAAAAATAACTTTAAGATTTTAATTTACACAAAAAGTTTACTTAAAATAATTATCCTCTTCACTGTACTCAATTTTTTATTTTTAACAAGGGAGATGTCAATCAACATATGTCAAATGAACGTTGGTTTGGCCCAGAAAGGTGGGACAACTCAAGGAGAGGAGGGGGCTTGGGGCTTTCAGATCATGGGTGGGAGACAAATGGTTGCATTCCTTTGACTTTCTGATTAGCCTTTCCAAAGAAAGCAATCATATATGCATTTATCTCAGTGACACTTTGAATAGAATGGGAGGCAGGCTCGCCCCTAGCAGCTCCCAGCTTGGACTAACACTAACATTTTTAAATATCTAGCAAAGACAAACATAAAATTCAGACAAAATGTATGCTGACAATTCTGATGGCATTTCTCTTTTTATTCCACCAATAATTGTAAAGCCAGTTTGTTTAATAAAGTTATACTTAAGTCATGTGAACTTGAAAATTGCTCAGACTTATTTACTTAATTTATGAGCATTCTTTTACTTATAACCAATTTGGAAGACACAATATATAACAATAAGTGTATATACAAATAATCACATCTAGACATGTATACACACACATAAACGAAGATCCAATAGCTTGGAACCTTGGCCGTGAGATAGCAATACAAGCTTGCCAGTTTTACTTTGCCCCAATAGATAATCCAAGGAAGGCTGAGAACCAAAATTTTGGGTAAATCAGTCTCCATGGCAGTTTGATTTTTAAAGGCTAAACCTCCCCAGACTCCAAGGAGCACTGGGGCCAAACAGTACCAAAGGAGGGCGTCACACGTTAACCAGGCTCCCTGCTTAGAACAGCAGCACAAAAGCCTGAATACATGCAATGCCATCCCACTTTCCAATTCGACAGCAAACTTCAGATTCTAAGCAATTTTGGGGCCAAGCAGCATTGCAACTGTGAGAGAAAATTCCAAAGAGGTCTTATTACTAGATCTCAGAACCTCTGCCAGGAGCATCCTCTTTGGAGAGTTTGAGGTCTGGAGGATCCCCAGGAGTGTCCACTTGTGGGGTCTAATCTTAGCGCTCCAGAGGTCTCTGGCCTTAGGTGGGCACTGGTGCCACTTTGCAAGCATTCCCTCCAGAGCCTACTATGAGCTTTCCTTTGGTACCTGGGTGTAATCCCCAAATTTTAGCATCCTTATAATTTGATAAGGCCTTATAATTAGAGACGCTTTTCCATGCTTCTCATTCCATGAACTTTAATGATAGGAACTGGAGGCTGGGTGGGTTTCCTTCACCCTTAGCCAGTTGAATAGGGGAAGGGAAGAATTTAGCATAGGAAAAGAAGGTTTAAGTCACCTGAAACATGTGCGGGTTTGCTCTGAGCTGTGCCACATATAGGGATCAGGGACCACACACCGAAAATACATTAAAAAGAGCCTTCCCCCTTCGGGGCAGGCCAATTATTCCCATTCATTCTTAGGCCTTCGGGCAATACCAGGGAGTGACCCCAGCCAATTGCCCTCAATTTCCAAGGAAGTACTAGGAGACAGCCATTGAAAGACTGAAAATGAAAGTGGAAAAAAAATGAAAGAGATCCACATTCCTTAAGTGAACCGGGTGGTGGGGGTCAGGCTTCTCCACATGGAAACCCCTTAGTTTCACTGACCATGGCCAGAAATTTGAAGTTGCTTCCATGTTTAGACGCTGCCCACCAAGGGTCCCGGGTTGGAAAGGAAAGGAGAGAGAAAGAGATTCCCCTGTATGGAGCAGAAAAGAAAAGGAGAAAGGAGAAGAATAAATCCCAAATTTTGGGCTTACCTCTTCCTCCTTCCCGGGTCACCAAAATATGTTAACGGCAGAGGTTGTTCAGGTTCTTGGGGATATTTAAACTCCCCAAAATTCTACAATGGGGCCTTTGAGCCCCTCTGCTCAGGCCCACTCCCACACTGTGGAGTGTACTTTCATTTTCAATAAAACCCTTCATTCCTTCTTGCTTTGTTTGTGCGTTTTGTCCAATTCTTTGTTCCATTGGTTGCTTTGGGTACACCCTATATAAATGGGGAGGAGGAAGTAAAGTTACAAAGTCATTTACCGCATACACCCTACGGAGAGGATATTTCCTGTTATAGCTGAAGTGTGAATCAGCCTTATGCTCCCTGCCTCCAGACCCTATTTTCCTGCCTCAAAATGAGCTTTGAAAAACCCCCAGTCTACCAGCCTTTGATGAGATTGATTTAAGTAATAACTCTCTCCCATGTGGCATGGCTGGCCTCATGTCAATTACATTTTCTTTGCTGCAATGCTGTGCTGTGAATTGATTTTGTTTGTGCAGCAGGCAGGAAGAACAGGTTGGGTGGTTATATCAGCCTTTCCACAAACAGATAAACAAACCAATGGGCCAAGACACCCAGTATTTATCACTTTTTTTTCTCTTAAAATGTGGAGTTGAGTCCTCAGCAGTGAAACATTGGTATACCATTTATAAACATTACAAAATCTTTCAAATGGTATTTTAAGGGCACCCTTATATTTTCTGCACCTCTTCTACACTTACAATGTTGTAAACAATGGGTGGGTAATGAAACAGTTTTCTGAGCCAGCTAGTGTTCTCCTCCAAGAAGGCATCATTGTTTCTGTGAATGCTTCAACATTTTATTTTCATTACAGAGAAAACAAAGCAGAGTAAAATAAAACAAAATGAAAACAAACACACATGCACTGTGCAGAACTATTTACCTGCCCTGCATTCATCCTACTTTTTCTCTCTAGAACACGCATTTCTGCAGATTTCTATCTGACTCAATGCCTCACATTGGGAAAAATTTCATTGCATATAAACACAAGATAGCAAAAAACTACTTAGTGACTGCCTGCTTGCAGTAGGCAACTGTGACTTGCTGTTTTTGTTTTGTTTCTATTCTCTCTCTTACCACAATTAATCCCCCTTTTGAAATTAGCACTTGATTTTTTTTTTTTTTTTTTTTTTGTAGATTCACCTTCTCCCTTGTCACCCTCCATCCCTGCAGCTCCATGCATCTCCTTCATATGGGGCTGACTTCAACCTCAGGATGCAGGGAAGTCACCTAACCCAGGCCTGACCAATCAGGGCGTCACACCTCTTAGAGAGTATTTAAAGGGCAGGCCTGATGGCCAATGAGATCTGTTCCTGGGGCTTTGCTGAGAATACTGAGGGAAGTTGTCCTTCCTTCCATCAGTTTTCTCTGCTGATAGATGAATAGCTTGGAGCTGCCGGTGTTTATCTTGTGTTATTTGGGAAGCATCTACCTGAAAATTACAGAATAAAATAGAACCAAATATGAAAATTCCATTACCTGAAGACATTTTTGATAACCTGGTCCTCTCTTGTACCTTTCAGCTGCGTAAGAAAATGCATTGCCTTATTTGTGTGTTCATGTATGTCTTTCTTTACAGGCTTCATCACAGTGGAGCTAGGTCTTGGTCACTTTCATCTGAGACCTGACAAGTACGCTCATCACACACTCTGCACCTTACTGTGTTCACCCCATTCTATCCATTCTGCCTCTGTGTTTTGAAAACTTGCTTCTTATTCTCAAGATACCTTCCCCTTTTTTCAGACTGGTAGCATCACAGCTATTCAAATAAATGCTCCCTCTTCTACCACTCTCCCTGGATGGGCCAATGGTCTGCCCTTTAGCTTTCACAGCTTTGGTGTACTGCACTAGACTATGAGTGACCTGGGGTGGAGACTGTGTCTGAGTCATCTTTGCAGCACCCACCACAAAATGTTCGTGCTGAACAAGCAGAGGAGGCTCCACATCCTGTTCTTTACAGATTTTGATTACTGTCAGGTGCCTGGCTGGCTGAAAAAAAAAATTCTTCCATTTTCCTGGCTTTCTGAGTGTCTTTCTTTTCTGGATGTTCATTAGGACATGGGCTCAGCCACACCAAGCTCATGCAGTCCTGTTGCTTCAGGGGATGTTCAGCATCAAGGTAGCTGCAAAAAAAGGAAGGCAGATAGTTATGAATCTACCTTTTAGTCTCTTTCTGCCTTAACATACCATAATTTTGAAGAGGTTTTGTATGCCCTTTACTTCAATGTGCTTGTGTCTGAGGGAAATATTGAGATACAGACATCCGGCAGAAAATGTTTCCTGGCATTGGAATCCTGCAAACATCCACCTCTTCTGTTTACCCCAATGCTGCTGTTAGTGAGGGGAACAGGGAGAGACCCTGAGACAGCCTGAGAGTCACCTACAGGAAGAGACAGGGCTTCTCCTGAAGAGGAAGTCACTGGGGTCTGGCAAGCAGGTCAGCTCACTTCATTACCACCTGGGGCCCAGGTCTCTTTCTATCCCTCATGGAGTGGTTCCCAGCTCTAATAATGAAAACACTTAAGGAGCTTTCTAAAACAAAGATTCCTGAGTCCTATCCCAGATTTAGAGGTCTGAAGATCTAGCAGTAGTCACCTGGGGAGTTCATTTTTTTTTTTTACAAAGCTCTGCAAGTTTGACAACCACTACCTTAAAACACACACTTCTACCATTTCAGTCAATTAAAGATGCAATATTAAGATATTCTCTGCACCTCACAGAAAACCAGAGCACGAAGGCCTTTAATTTCCCAGGATTGGCCCATGTTACAGAAAGGAATCCTAACAGATTTGAACATCTTCTGTTGTACCATACTAGGGTGCTTGGAAAATATGTTGTTTTCTGTCTCTCTCCAGGCATACACGTAAGAGAGCACTTCACAAAATTATTGACTGAGAAGTGGTCATGTGTCTTGTTTTGGCCAATTAAATGTGAGCAGAAATCATGTGGGTCACTTCCAGGTGTAAGATATTAGAGGCCTGCATGCTTCATCTTACTCGTTTGTCTCTCTTTGCCATGACAGCCAACAATCTTCCGGAAAGGCAATGCCTAGTAAGTCTGGCTCAGAGGTCAGGACAAGCAATGTCATTGTGGAGCAGCCTCCTGAGGTTAATGAGAAGCCTGAAAATCCTAAGTAATCTCCAAAAACCTTCTAGAATTAATGCGTGAATTTAGCAAGGTCTCAGAATACAAGGTTAACCCCCAAATCTACCAAATTTCTATATCTTACCAGTGTATAATTAGAAACTCAAATTAAAACACACACACACCCCACTGCTATGTAGAATAGCTCCCCTAAAGTGAAATACATTGATATAGATTTAACAAGACATGTAAAGGTTGGTATGTTGGAAATTACAAATGCTGATAACAGAATCAGTGACTACCTACATAAAATGAGAACTAATTCATGTCAACATAGTAAAGATGTTACTTTTCCCCAAATGGATCTTTAAATTTAATGCAATACTACTTAAAATCCCACCAGGATTTTTATAGTTATAGATATGCTAATTCTATAATATATATGGAAAACAAAATGAATTAGAAGACCAAAACAATGTCGAAAATCAAAAAAGTAGTTGGAAGAAGCCATACCCAATTTTAAGACTTACTATTAATTGATAGTAATCAAGACATTGGTGCACTAAGGAAGAGATGGCTACTCCCAGGACCCAGACTGTGATCTCTAAATGCTATTGACCAGTAAAGAGAACCAGAGCCCCAAAAGGAAATGGCTGATTCCAAATATTGGTCTGAAAAGGTACAAAATGAACCTGTATATCTTGTTATGATTGAAAGCAAGGACATTGTCAACTATTAATGCAATTTAGTCAAAAAAGATACAGGGATCTGACCATCCCTTTATACAGGCCATCCCTCTGGATAAAGAAGTGACCATCTGAGGATTAAAAAAAAAAGATACTGGCAATGCTTTGTAACACACAAAACATAGCCAACACGAGTAACGTTTTGAGCTTACTAGATTACCATGTTACCATTTTGACTTTCAGAACTGTAATATTGGCCAGGCGCGATGGCTCACACCTGTAATCCCAGCACTTTGAGAGGCCAAGGCGGACAGATCACTTGAGGTCAGGAGTTCAAGACCAGCCTGGCCAACATGGTGAAACCCCGTCTCTACAAAAATACAAAAATTAGCCAGGTATGATGGCAGGTGTCTGTAATCCCAGCTACTCGGGAGGCTGAGGTGGGAGAATTGCTTGAATCTGGGAGGCGGAGGTTTCAGTGAACCGAGATCGTGCCATTGCACTCCAGTTTGGGTAACAGAGTGAGACTCTATATCAAGAAAAAAAAAAAAGAACTGTCATATAATAAATTTATATTGTTTTTAGCCACTACATTTGTTACAACTTATTAGGGTAACGTTAAGAAACTTTTCTATTTTCCGTAGAGGCCCCGGAGCTCCTTAGCTTTGGGATAAACTGGTGCTTACCCCAACTGTGGGGTCAGAGCGTGGAAGTGAGAGAAGGGAAAGACCATCATGGTCTGCTGTGGTCAGGGAAGGCTTCCTGGAGGAGGAGAAAGTGGAGGAAGCAGCTGAGCCTGGAGGGATGGGGTCACTACCTTTAAAGCATCTGTCAGCCATGGGGATCTGATGGTTTTTTTATTTTTTATTTTTTATTTTTATTATTATTATTATTTTTTTACAAACCCTTGTGTGGAGATCTGACTTTCAATAGATCGCAGCGAGGGAGCTGCTCTGCTACGTACGAAACCCCGACCCAGAAGCAAGTCGTCTACGAATGGTTTAGCGCCAGGTTCCCCACGAACGTGCGTTGCGTGACGGGCGAGAGGGCGGCCGCCTTTCCGGCCGCGCCCCGTTTCCCAGGACAAAGGGCACTCCGCACCGGACCCTGGTCCCAGCGCGGGGCGGGGCGGCCCGCCGGCGGGGACCGGCTATCCGAGGTATCCGAGGCCATCCGAGGCCAACCGAGCCGACCGAGGCCAACCGAGGCCATCCGAGGCCGACCGAGGCCGACCGAGGCCGACCGAGGCCATCCGAGGCCGACCGAGGCCGACCGAGGCCGACCGAGGCCGACCGAGGCCATCCGAGGCCGACCGAGGCCAACCGAGGCGCCGCGGGGCTGCCGTATCGTTCCGCCTGGGCGGGATTCTGACTTAAGAGGCGTTCAGTCATAATCCCACAGATGGTAGCTTCGCCCCATTGGCTCCTCAGCCAATGGGATCTGATTTTTTAAGCAGTCACAACACTAGACTTTTAATTGAGAAAGCTCTGTAAGCAATTAAAAGCCGCTGTTGTTTTAAACTCTTCTTGTGTCACCTGCTGGCAATGAGGAAAATGATACATCACCTCAACAAAATGCCTCAGTGAGTTGGTACACATTTTTTATTTGCATTTTTATTTGCACATATTCTAAGATACAACCATGTCAAAGCTTCCAATTATCTTTTTTTGTTTGGTTTTGTTTTTTGAGACGGAGTCTCCCTCTGTCACCCAGGCTGGAGTGCAGCGGTGTGATCTAGGCTCACTGTAAACTCCTTCTCCCGGCTCAAGCAATCCACTCACCTCAGCCTCCTGAAGAGCTGGGACTACAGGCACCCACCACCACACCTGGAGAATTTTGTTTGTTGTTTGTTTGGTTTGAGACAGGATCTCACTCTGTTATCTAGGCAGGAGTGCAGTGGCACAGTCTCAGCTCACTGCAACCTCAGCCTCCTGGATTCAAGCGATTCTCCTGCCTCAGCCTCCCAAGTAGCTGGGATTACAGGCACCCGCCACCATGCCTGACTAATTTTTTGTATTTTTAGTAGAGATGGGGTTTCACCACGTTGGCCAGGCTGGTCTTGAACTCCTGACCTCAAGTGATCCGCCTGGCTCGGCCTCCCAAAGGGCTGGGATTACAGGTGTGAGCCACCATGCCAGGCAAATGTAATTATGTTTGACCTCACAAATTTACTTTCAAATATATGGTGAGGGTTAGACCCTTGCTACATAGCAGGAGGCACTCAGGAAAGCAGGTATGGTGCCTGCATTGACTGACGTTGAAACCTAAGGGAAGTGACAGGCAGCAAAGAGTTGCCCTATAATAAATGAGTGGTCTTGCAATAACTCTGTTGTGAGATAATGTCAGTGGAGGCCCCTGTTGAATTATGCAGCCCAATGTGGGATAGGGTGGAAGAAGGAAGGGGAGAGACATCCAGAGATGGGGTTTGGCATCATCTCTCAGAGGCTGGGAGAGACCCAGTCCAAGCCCACATGCTCAGCCATCTTAATTTATTGACAAATGGAAAAAAAAATGTACAATGTATTATACTTTAAATGCTTCCATTAAAAAGATTCTTATTTCTGATAGGTGCATGCAAGTATAACTCTTTCAAAATATTAACAAATACATTTATCTGTGGCTGTGGGTCAGTTAGAAACCTGCATCTAATGTGTTTTCTTCCTACTTTCTCTCTGCCCCACTCCATAATCGGCTGTGGATCTTAAATGGCATGACTGAGCCTCAGATTGGGTGATTTAGACAGTAGAGATGCCAATTTTTAAAAATGAAATGAACCTTGAGTACAGAAGGATAGATTTCTTGTAAAACCAAAATGGTACTATCTTCTACCAAAGAATTAAGGCTGCAAAGATATATTGTTCCTCTGTACATCAGTCATGATTGACTTATAGATTAGGAAATAGAGCCAGGTTAGGTGGCAGATCACGTGAGGTCAGGAGTTCAAGACCAGCCTGGCCAACATGGTGAAAACCTGTCTCTACTAAAAATAAAAAATTAGCTGGGTGTGGTGGCAGGCGCCTGTAATCCCAGCTACTCGGGAGGCTGAGGCATGAGCATCACTTGACCCCGGGAGGCAGAGGTTGCACTGAGCCGAGATCATGCCACTGAACTTTAGCCAGAGTGACAGAGTGAGACTCCATCTAAACACACACACACACACACACACACACACATACACACACACAAGATTAGGAAATAGAGCCTGAGTCTCTTTTTTATTATAACCAGCAAGGGTGAATGGGAATAAATAATCATATTTTCTCTTTGCTTTGCGCCATTATGCCATTACCCAACTTGGTGGGCAGTTTCAGGAATGCCCCTGGAACCTATTAACAGTGAATTATTTATCTTAACAGCTGCTATGAAGCGCATTCCAGCAGTTGCTCCATGAAGGACATCTCACAGTTTTTGAACTTTGCTGAAGGCCCATGTAAGAAACAAAATTCATCATCAGATGAAAGAGATTTCTTTCCTCGTTTTCAAATATAAAAACATAGTCACACACAGAGTTCTTCCACAGGGAAAGCCAAAATTCCAATCTTAGCTATGTTTGCAAGATAGCACTCTCATTGCCACTGTGTTCTGTGCAATATTTAGTCTAATGTGGAAACAGAAGTGGTAGGTTCTGCCCACCACAATGGCAGACACTCCGAGTTTCAGTCATATGTTAGGATTCATCGCTTTAAACAGAAGAAATCTCAGGCAATGTCCCTCCAGTACCAGTCTGCCTCCCTTTATTTCTAAAATGCTGTGTATGAACATGCATACTTTAATATTAACCAAGGAAAACTTTACTAGAAAGTCAAAATAATGAAAACTTCAAAAGAAACGACTTCAGATACTTTGGATTTCTTTTTTTTTTTTTTTGCCCCTTTCCACATCAAAACATATCCATTCAGTGTGTCACTTCCTCAATACCCCTCTCTGTCATTTCCAAGATAAAAGCTCCATAATGGAAAAACTGATTTGAAATAATATGTTCAATAATTGTTAGCAGATTGACCAAATTCAGATGTCAGTTTCCATTTTAATGGGAGCTTTTTGGGAACATAAGGGGGACTGTGTTGGTGGAAATTTTAGGAACAGTCACAAATATGGTAGTAAGAAATATGGTCTGGATAGTGCTATATTTCCTGACAACTTCAGTAAAAAGCAACCATCTGAAGTTCTTTGTTTTAATAGTTGTGTTCCATCTTTTTTTTGGTACCATCTCAGGAGATGGAAGTTGAAGTTGATATACCCCTTCAGATGTCAAGATCTTTTTAACCAAACAATGTTTTTCTAACACTTTCACGCCTTCCTCATCCTACATTCAGTTGGTGAGTAGTGGGAGCAGGAGAGAGGAAAGCACATGAGATGATAATGCTTCTTCAATTTCCATGGGCGTTTCCTGCTCCGAGAACAAGGGCATATCTGCATGAGAAGGTCAGAGTAACTCAGCCTCCACCCACACCTGCACAAACACGTGCACACTATTCCACAGAGAGCCAAACATCAGTCAATGAGGATGTTTAAAGCGCTGAATCTCCCCAGCACTTTGGGAGGCCGAGGCGGGCGGATCACATGAGGTGGTGAGTTCAAGACCAGCCTGACCAACATGGAGAAACCCCGTCTGTACTAAAAATGCAAAATTAGCAGGGTGTGATGGCGCATGCCTGTAATCCCAGCTACTTGGGAAGCTGAGGCAGGAGAATTGCTTGAACCGGGGAGGCGGATGTTGCGGTGAGCTGAGATTGTGCCATTACACTGCAGTCTGGGCAACAAGAGCGAAACTCCATCTCAAAAAAAAAAAAGCTGACACTAGTGAAATTCCTGTGGGCAGGCATGGATCTTAAGTTGTCTTCCATTGAATTCCATTTAGGAATGTGGAGCTGTAGACACGTGAACACAGAGAGAAATCTCCAGATGAATAATACATGCACCTAAGCCCCTGCATAAATACACAAGAATGGCAGTTACTTAAATTTCTGATATATTGAGGAAATAAAAAGTTAATACCAATTTGCATTACCAGAGACTTGGCTATTGCTAGTTCTGGAAAAAAAAAAGATAAAAAGAGTGGAGTGATGAGATGATAAATTGCACTTTCAACCACTGCAAAGCATTGAATGCGGCTTGTCCTGGCTGCTCTACAGTTACATATTCACCTAGCAAATATGTATCCAGAATTTGCAAAGTACACTGTTAGCCCCATGCTTTAGATGAGTTGGATGCATTTGCATCAGATCAATAGGTTAATGAGGGAATCTCTGACTTTGCACCATGGTGCCCGTAATGAATGTCTGCCTTGTTTCCTGCAGCCAAGCCCCATCCTCTGGTCCTCCAACCATCTTTGAGCAGGGGCTCCTTGCCTGCCCTTTCAGCTTCCCGAGGTCTAGGCTTCTTCTCAGACCCTCATTCTCTCCTCCCAGGTCTGAACCTCAGTCTGAACATCAAGGCTCTGATGCCACACAGGGACCATATAGACACCCACTGGCTGGCACTGCCCCTCAACTCCTCCTGCGGGGACTCCCTTGGTTCCTGTCCTGTCCCCAGGGGTCTGGTCTCTGGGTCCTTTCTGCCCAAATGCAGCTCCCCCCACCACCAGCCAGGGCAAGCGGAAAAGAAGAGATTAGGCAACTCTATTTTGTTTTCCAATCTGTGGTGAGCAGTCAGTTGTTGCTACTTCATTCTTAGCATATGTCTTAGTTGGAATTCTTCCCAAAGCAGACACTGATACAGGGACTTAGGTTGAGGTGAAAGTGGACCCAAGAAATCACAAGTGAGAGAATGGGGGAAGTGAGATGGGGGAAAGAGGAAGTCAACAGGTATGTGTCAAAGGGTGTCTGCTCCTATGTCGCTGGGGCCCACATTCCACTGGGAACCTTCTAAGGAATGATGCATGATGTGCCTCAGAAAAGATGCTCTGTGGGACAGAGACACTGGGCTGTCTGTCCAGGACTCGTCCCTCCCTTTGGCTGAGAGTTGCTTTTGGCAGCATTTCCAAGCTATCTTGCACCAGGCTGAGCATCTTCTGCAAGGCTGGAGAAAGCTCCCAGGCAAAGATGTACAAGGATCCAGGAAGCTTCCAGAGTGCAAAGAAACTGCCCTCCATGGCTCTGGATGGAATCGAAACTCCACAGCTCTGGATGGATTTGAAAGTGGGCTCAGCAGCTGTGGGGCAGGGCACTACCGATAACTGTGACAGCACAAGTTCCCGTCTCACACCTGCTGTTGCCTCTGCCAGAAATGTTCTTCCCTCACATCTGAAAGAGCCTCCCCTTTAACTGCAGGCATCTGCTCAAATGTCCCCTCCCAGTGGCATCTTCTCTAACCATCCTGTTGAAAATAATATGCCTTAAACCCCAGAAAAACATCCCATCATTTCTACTCATCTTGTAAATGATACACATGTGATAGATGTGTGTGTGTGTGTGTGTGTGTGTGTGTGTGTGTGTGTGATCTCTCCCTCTCCAGCAATGTTAGTTCCGAGAGGGCAGGGACCAAACACACAAAGCCTCCTCTACTTGTAGGGTTTCTATTCTGAGGACTGGAGAAAGGGAGAACAGAAATAAAGGAGAAGATAATCATGTGGCTTGTTATAAAGAGATGCGTACTGTGGAGCAAAGGAAAGAGTAGAATAAGGCGACTGAGAATGCATGCAGGCTGGGCAGGGCTGTGGCTTCAATTTTAAACCATGCTGTGAGGGTAAACCATGGGACATGTGACTTTTTTTTTTTTTTTTGATGGAGTTTCACTCTTGTCACCCAGAGTGGAGTGAGTGCAGTGTTGCGATCTCAGCTCACTGAACCTCCGCCTCCCATGTTCAAGCGATTCTCCTGCCTCAGCCTCCTGAGTAGCTGGGATTACAGGTGCCCACCACCATGCCTGGCTAATGTTTGTATTTTTAGTAGAGACGGGGTTTCACTATGTTGGCCAGGCTAGTCTCGGACACCTGACCTCAGGTGATCCACCCACCTTGGCCTCCCAAAGAGCTGGGATCACAGGCGTGAGTCACGGCGCCCAGCCAGATATGACTTTTGAGCAATGACTTGTTGAGCTAGACCATGTGCCTGGCAGAGGGAATGGACACTGCCCAGGCCCTGAGTGGGGAGCAGGCCCAGTGTGTTCCCAGAAAGGCCAGGCCGGGAAGTCAGTGTGGGCAGAACACAGTCAGGAAGAGAGTAGGAGGAGAGATGCTCAAAAAGGCCTGGGAGGAGATCATGTGTAGCTTTGAAATATATTAAAAGAGATACGGAGCCGAGATCCCGCCACTGCACTCCAGCCTTGGCGACAGAGCAAGACTCCGTCTCAAAAAAAAAAAAAAAAGAGAGAGAGAGAGAGAGGTACAGTCTCTTGGGATCTACCAGAGCTTGCTTCCAGGAACTCCAGCAGATACTGACATCTGGGGATGCTCACATCCACTCTCCAAATTTACAATCTTTGCATCCAGCAAATACCGTTTTTGAATTTGAGATGCAAAACCTGTGGGTACGGAGGGCTCACTGTAAAATGACACTGAGCTTTACTCTGAGTGTAATGGGATGGCACTGCCTCATGTTCTCTCTAGGAGGGGCCCCCTGGCTGCTGCCACACCCTTGAGTGTGCATGGGGGGATGGGGGATGATATGTTAACTACATTTGTCAACTTGACTGGGCTCAGGGGTGCCCAGATAGCTGGTAAACATTATTTCTGGGTGTGTCTGGAGGATGTTTCTGGAAGACATTAGCATTTGAGTTGGTGGGCTGAGTTAAGAGGATTTACCCTCACCAATGTGGGTGAACATCATCTAATTTTTTGAAAGCCTAAAAAAAACCAAAATAGCAGAGGAAGAGTGAGTTCTCTTCTCTCTCTTTTTGAGCTGGGATATCCATCTTCTCCTGCGCTGGGATGTCAGAGTTCCTGGTTTTTGGGCCTTCAGACTTCTGGACTCTGGAATACAACAGAGCTCTCCTGGTTCCCAGACTTTCAGACTCAGACTAAATCAAAGCATCTGCTTTCTTCATTCTTCAGCTCACAGATCATGGGACTTCTCAGCCTCCATAATACTGTGAGCTAATCCCCATAATAAATCTCCTTTGATGCATCTAGGCCTGTCCTATCTGTGCTGCTTCTCTGGAGTACCCTGACTCATCAAGGGGTCAAGGGTTGAAGCAGGGAGACCATCATGGGTGCACTGCAGAATCCAGGGGAAAGGCCATGGTGGATGAGAACCGGGAGTAGCAGGGCGGCGGTGAGAAGTGGTCAGAATCTGTGTATATTTGGAGGAGGTGGCAAGAGGATTTCCTGACAGATTGGATAGACAGATTGGATAGAAATGAATGGGGCAAAAGTGAGTTAGAGGCTTTGACCTGGAAGGACAGAGATGCCATCAACTGAGATGAACTGGCTGCCAGGGACCCCAGATGTGACTGTGGTTAGAGTGGGGAGGGGCCAGTGCTTATAACTCTGTTTCTGCAGGGATCCCCAGTTCTACTCTGGCACCCCAGTGGTCCACGGCTGAGGAACATCATAAGAAAACACCTTTGGCATGACCATTAGTGCGTAAGTGGCTGACATCTTCAGTAGGGTTCGTGCTGGGGCTCCTCCAAGCAATCTCTCCAGGAACAGACTTTGCAGGACCTGAGATGGTAGTATGGAGGTTGTTAAGGGTCGCAGATGTTCAGGTTTCATTCTGCAGCTGTGTGCCACCAAAACCAATGGGTTACCCAGCAGGCAGGTCACCAGGCAGCCTCTGCTCACCTTCCAAAGCCCAGTAACGTCATGTGATATCAAAGCAATAAGTTAATAATTGTATCTTAATTTGTATACTTTAAATAGGCTTTAAATCTTCCCTTACATATAATAAGATATTAAAATCATCAAAGATAGATTGCAAATTAGTCCACACATCTCTATGTCCACTGCCAGCTTCCTATTCCTCACTGAATTAGTCCATTCTCATATTGCTATAAAGAACTACCTGAGACTGGGTAATTTATAAATAAAAGGGGTTTAATTGACTCACAGTTCTGCAGGCTGTACAGAAAGCATGACTGCGGAGACCTCAGGAAACTTACAATCATGGTGGAAGGTGAAGGGGAAGCAGGCACATCTTACATGGTCAGAGAAGGAGGAAGAGAGTGAAGGGGGATGGGCTACATACTTTTAAACAACCAGATCTGAGAACTTACTCATTATCATGAGAACAGCAAGAAGGAAATCCACCCTCATGACCCAATCACCTCCCACCAGGCCCCTCCTCCAACACTGGGGATTGCAACTTAACATAAGATTTGGGCAGGGACACAGATCCAAACCATATCACATACTGTGATCTACCCTTTCCTGGATGTTTATCACAATTTCCTAGTATGTCTCTATGATGTTCTTTCTGCCCTAGGCCAGAAAGATCCTTTTAAATATTAAATTGTGTCATGACACTCTGTCTCTTCAGAGCTTTCAGTTCCATCTCATTACACTTAGAATTTAAATCTCTCTCTCTCTCTCTCGTCTCTCAAGAATGGTTGAAGAGGCTCTGCGTGGTATGACCCCAGCTCATGCACCTTCATCTCATGGTCCTTTCTCTTCCTCCCTGTGCGCCAGCCACCCTGGTGTCCATCACTGGCTATAAAGCAACTTTTATCTTTCAAAAAAGGGAATTTAGTTTTAGGGCACCTCCATCTAATAAAGCCTAAAAACCTAATTGAATACCTGGAGGTTAATGACTAATTAACTTTGTTGATCAACATTGGGTAAAAAGCAACATTTGAAGAGAAAGTTTGTTTTTGGCCATCTCAGAAAGACACATGTGGGTCACAGGTGGTACGGCAGTGGCAGCTGCCAGCTCACATGGCACTAGGAGCCACCAACCTGTGATGCCCCTGAGCCATTCATCACTCTTGGCAGCAGGACTTTGATATTGATTAAGCAGCAGGCACGGGGGAAGGAGAAAAGAAGCTCTTGCCACTTCGTCTCGGCGTTTGTCTTTTCTCCAAACGTCAGGGCAGGGGAGCATCTGCTGCCAAGACATGAATTATAAACAGATGAAGAAACTCACTTTATGGGCCAATTCTCATCTTTTTCCTCTCCACCTATTCCCCCTATGCTATAAAACCCAATATATCCTCTGCTTAGTAAACTCTTAATCATGTAAAGGATCATAGACAGGGCCCCCTGTGACTCACACCATGGCCAGGAACAATTTCCAACACTTGTCACCTCCCATCTGCTGGGTTTATTAACGTGAGAAGCACCAAATAATGTTCAGCAACAGCCTCATCCTTTTCTCTTTTGTCCTCTGCCAAGGCATGAATCTAAAGAAACTCTTTAGGTACTTGGTTTTGCATTAGTTATTCATTGATTTTGTCAATTGATAAATATCTAACAAGCATTGATTAGCTAACAGACACTAAGAATAAAGCAAATGTAGTGCTTGCATTCATGGAGCTTAATTATTGTGAGGAACATATGAAGATAATTAGTATTTCATATATATATATATATATATATATATATATATATAATTTTGAAACAGAGTCTTGCTCGTCATCCAGGCTGGAGTGCAGTGGTGCAATTTTGGCTGACTGCACCCTCTGTCTCCAGAGTTCAAGTGATTCATGTGCCTCAGCCTCCAGAGTAGCTGGGACTATAGGTGTGCACCACCATGCTCAGATAATTTTTTTGTATTTTTAATAGAGATGTGGTTTCACCATGTTGCCCAGACTGGTCTTGAACTCCTAGGCTCGAGTGATCTGCCTGTGTCGGCCTCCCAAGGTGCTGGGATTACGGGCATGACCCACTGCACCTGGCCATATTTTTAATATTTTAATCTGAACAATTTAGAATAGAATATAGAGAAAACATAAAGAGGAAGAGATATGAATTTAAGTGGGTATATTTCATTGGACGAGTAAAAACTCATTGCTTCGGCCGGGCGCGGTGGCTCACGCCTGTAATCCCAGCACTTTGGGAGGCCGAGGCGGGCGGATCACGAGGTCAGGAGATTGAGACCATCCCGGCTAAAAAACGGTGAAACCCCGTCTCTACTAAAAATACAAAAAATTAGCCGGGCGTAGTGGCGGGCGCCTGTAGTCCCAGCTACTTGGGAGGCTGAGGCAGGAGAATGGCGTGAACCCGGGAGGCGGAGCTTGCAGTGAGCCGAGATCCCGCCACTGCACTCCAGCCTGGGCGACAGAGCGAGACTCCGTCTCAAAAAAAAAAAAAAAAAAAAAAAAAAAAAAAACTCATTGCTTCAGGTCAGTGGACATCGTACCTATCATCACAGATTTCTTGGTCAAAGTGGCACCCACCCCAAGACTTACGTAAGTGTTTCTATTGGTCAAGTGCAGTAGTTCACACCTGTATTCCCAATATTTTGGGAGGCCAAGTTAGGAGAATCACTTGAGGCCAGGAATTTGAGACGAGTATAGGCAACATAACAAGACCCCATCTCTAAAAAAAAAAAGAAAATAGCAAAATTAGCTGGACAAGGTGGTTCATGCCTATAGCCTCAGCTACTCTGCAGGCTGAGGTGGGAAGATTGCTTGAGCCTAGAAGTTCAAGGCTGCAGTAAGCTGTGATTATACCACTGCACCCCAGCCTGGGTGACAGAGTAAGGCCTTGTCTCAATAAATAAATAGATAAATAAATACTTCTATCTTTTGGGTTGCAGAGTCCCTCTTTGTACAAGGAAGGAATGGGAGATAATTCATGGGGCAAAGATGCATTCTTGAGGGTAATAGCCTGTGATACAGCACAAGACACAGGCTGCAGAGGACACGCAGGTGGAATCTGAGACCCTGAGAGTCAACCACCCTTCCCCCACTAGCTGGCTCCCCATTGGTCAGGTAGAGAAGTGAGGTGAGGTATATGACAAACGCTTCTCCACCATAACACCATTACATTAGTGTAAAAAGCACTTGATAATTTGTTAACAGTATTTGATTAATGTCTGGAGTCCTGATTTTGATAATCGCATTGTGGTTAGGAAGCAGGATTGCAGACGGGTAGCACCCTTTCTGCCAAAAGTAAAATTACCTTGCTGAGAAAAGTTTTTGTCTGAATGCTGATTCTTCCTTGCAGCACAGAAGAATAAGCAGTTAATTCCAACATTTTCCCATCAAATGGAGACCTGCGTGGCCTTTGGTTTAGCTTAAGGGATGATGTCTCCTCAAGCATGCAAGCAGGAACCAGTGTTTCCATTGCTTCTCTCCATCATCTCCATATCCTCCTAGTCCACATGGTGCTGCTGGTGTGTCATGGGCCTACTTCTGCACCCCATAACTTCCTCTGCCCCCTTGCATGGCTGCTGCAAGCAGCTCCTACTTGCTTTCCTGGACTTCCATTTTACCTCCTTTCAGCTCCTCCAAATCCCCGGCAGAAAACCATGTGTAAGACACTAATCTAATCATATTGCTCATCTGATTATTTCCATAAAACATTTTCCTACCATTTTAAGAATAAATCCAAATACCCTACTGTATCTGAAGCCCAACCTGACCTCTGGGCACTCACTGTCCACATCCCATATCCCAGCTGTAAGCGGGTATGTTGTTCTTACACGGGCAGTGTCTGCTACTTATCTCAGTGTTCACCTCCAGCTTTGGTTCTTCCAGAAACAGACCCTGAGGCACAGGTTCAAGTGATGAGTGTTTATTTGAGAAGTTCAGGAAAGACTAGACAAGAAGTGGGAACCTGGTAGAATAAGAGAAAGAGATGTCAGAGGGTGCTCTCTCTGGCCAGCAACCACAGGGATCACCAGATCTTTGGGTGAGGAAGTGTCAGGAAAAACTGCAGCAGACTTGTCTCAGAATTTTCCCATCTGAGCTGTGAGGGACCTGGGGTACTTATACTCCACCCAGTAAGAGTGATTCATGAGGGGCTGCTCCTAGGGACAGGTTCCTATTATTCTTCAGATGTCTCACCCACCCAACAGTCAGATAGTTGACTTTTTCACAGTTGTGGGTAGGAGGGCAGACGTAAGGCACAGAAGCACATGTATGAGAAGTTATAAGTTCATAGTAGAGTCGAATATTCACATGGAATGTTTCAAAAGCTATAGATAGGGTGGCCCACTGGGAATATCTGATATACCTTCTGTCCCTGTTCTCTCAAGACCCATCTTCAGCTCCTTTGCCTGGCCTATTTTTTATTGTCTTTTGTGCCTCATTTTGTGTGTTAACTCCTGAGGGCAGACTTCTCTGGCCTCCAGCATCCTGGCTTAGCTGCCACTGCTGTAGTGTCTCAAGCGCTCACTGCTGTCTCTCCCTCACAGCCCTGACTGCACTGCATTGTGACTGTCTGTGAATGTGGTGGTGGTTCCGCCAGACTACATACCGACTGAGGGCTAGGGCTGCCAGATTCGCATAGATGCCTAAATCTGAATTTCACACAAACAATGAATATATTTTTAGTCTACAGCACGCCCTGTGTATATGCTATACATGTGGCACCTATTGAGAGTCTTATGGTATCTGACAGAAAACAGGTACTAATTTTAATGAATGATTAAACAGAACATGCAAAGCAGCATATAGCTAATGTAACTGAAAACAGATGTACATCTGATCCTATGGCAAGCCTCTGTTACCCCAGCCAAAGTGAAGCCTGCACAACTATCATTTTTTTTGCAGAGTGACAAGACATTTAATGTGCGCTAACTTCAGGCAACACATTGGCTATCTGTCAGGTGCCATAGTCCTCTATCAGGGCATTCAAATGGAACCTGTACAGCAGCCAAGGCAATGAAACTGCAAAAAGCTGATGGGATGAGGAGATTGAGATCTAAACATCCACATGTTTCATGACCCTTTGTATTAAATCATTTATGGGAATGACTGTGTTGCTAAATTTAACAGAGTGTAACAATAGTCAGTAGTCTCATAATGATTATTTCCCTCCTCACTTGATTGGTTAAGTTTGCGATGAGGGCAGATCACCTGAGGTCAGGAGTTCGAGACCAGCCTGACCAACATGGAGAAAGCCTGTCTCTACTGAAAACACAAAATTAGCCTTGTGTGATGGCACGCACCTGTAATCCCAGCTACTCTGGAGGCTGAGGCAGGAGAATAGCTTCAACCCGGGAGGCAGAGGTTGCAGTGAGCTGAGATTGCGCCATTGCACTCCAGCCTGGGCAACAAGAGCAAAACTCTGACTCAAAAAAAATAAAATTAAAAAAGTTTGCCATGATATCCTGTCAAAGATAAGGGATTCCTTTTATTAGGAGACAGTTCACGAGAGTATCTGGTGCAGGCTCCTGCTTTGACAAAACGCAATAGAGGACACAGAAGTGGAGGAAATTAAACAGACAAACACGGACAATGTGAGACCAGAAAATGAACTGTTTCCACTGTCTGATCATTTCATTAGGGAATTGACTTCATCCCCAAGCCTGAAGCCGTTTTACTCATCTCCCATTTTCCCAGTCTCTCTCATACACAGACACACCCTATGCCACAGTCTCTTGCCAAAGAGTTACAAATCCATTTGGCTTCCAGGCCACGAAGACAACTGAAATTCACAAATTGCTACTCACCTACACTCATTTTTTAAAAATAAACTTTATTTATTTTTGCTCACCAATTATGTATTTATGCGTGTATTTAATTATTTTATTTTTATTTTAATAAAACTTTTTTTTGGGACAAGATATCCCTCTGTCACCCAGACTGGAGTCCAGTGGCACAATTATTGCTCACTGCAGCCTCAACCTCTTGGGATCAAGCCATCCTCCTACCGCAGCCTCCCGAGTAGCTGGGACTACAGGCATATGCCACCATACCTGGGTAATTTTTTTTTTTTTTTTTTGAGATGGAGTCTTGCTCTGTCACCAGGCTGGAGTGCAGTGGCATGATCTCGGCTCACTGTAACCTCTGACTCCCTGGTTCAAGAGATTCTCCTGCCTCAGCCTCCCAAGTAGCTGGGATTACAGGTATGTGCCACCATCCCCAGCTAATTTTTTTTTTTTTTTCAGTAGAGACGAGGTTTTGCCATGTCGGCCAGGATAGTCTTGATCTCCTGACCTCATGATCCACCTGCCTCAGCCTCCCAAAGTGCTGGGATTGCAGGCTTGAGCCACCACTCCCGGCCCATACCTTGGTAATTTTTAAAAAGTTTTTGTAGAGACGTGGTCTCACCACGTTGCCCAGGCTGGTCTCAAAGTCCTGGGCTCAAGCAATCCTCCCTGCCGTGGCCTCTCAAAGTTCTGGGATCACAGGCATGAGCCACCGTGCGTGGCCAACTATTCACAGCAAAATTGAGTGGAAGGTACAGAGATTCCCCATATCCCTCCTCTCCCCGCACAGGCACAGCCTCCCTCATTCTCAGCATCCCTCACCAGAGTAGTCTACTTGTTACAATGGATAAGCTTATATTAACAAGTCATTATGACCCAGCCTCCATAACTGCCATTAGGGTTCACTCCTGGTGGTGTCCATTCTGTGGATTTGGAGAAATTTATAGTGTATCCACCAGTGTAGTAACATACAGACTACCTTCACTGTCCTAAAAATCCTCTGTGCACTGCCTATTCATTTCTCTCTCTAGTTTTTACTGCATCCAAAGATGGATAAGACGTAGCCATATTTTCTCACTTTCGGAGAAAATCCTGGGACCTAAAAGTGAAATCCCACAATTTTTGAATCTCTCGAGCCCAGACCTGTGCTCACAGCAGTCCCCATGACATCCTACCTGACACCCAGCTCCTGCTTAATCCCCACTTAAAACTTGGCCTAGCCCACTCTAGCCAGTTCAGCCCTCAGGGAACCCCCCTGCCTCTGTTTTCCAAACTACCCCATGCACCAGTCATGGGGAATTTATCCCAGATTCTCATCACCACGAATGGCAACTATCCATATCAGTCATTGTACAGACACTGCCTCATATATATTTATACATTTACTTAGTTATGTATGTCATATTTCAAAAGATTATGATGATTTAAAAATAATATCCAAACAACATGCTTTGTCTATAGAGTTTAATTTGAACAGAACAATTGGAGAGGATAATTATCAGGAGTGTTTCTGTTAAGACCTAAGCTAAGGGCTTTCTTTTCTTTTTCACTTAATCCAACCTCATCATAATCCCAGGAGGAAGTTACCACTACAATCCTTATTCTTTGGGGAAACTGAGTCCAAGGGAAGTGACACCTCAAGTGGCTACACAGGTAGTGAATATCAGAGCTTGAGTTTAAATCCAGGTTGTGGGGAATTCTAAAAAAATGTCCTTAAGAAGCATTTGGGTGAAAGGATAACTTGTGGAGTGCTGAGACTTTCTCAGATCCAACATAAGGCTCCAAAAACCGTGAACATGTCCCAGAATCTAGAAACGGGAGAAGCCAGTGGTTTGCAGTGAGCCTTCCTCAGGTATACTTACGGTGCCTATAGGCTAAATCAATACCAACATCTCTTTTCAGGAACATCCTTGGCTCTTTTCACTTATTTGTTAAGTATCTTCTTCCTTTTTTTTTTTTTTTTTTTTGAGATGGAGTTTCCCTCTTGTTGCCCAGGCTGGAGGGCAGCGGTGCGATCTCAGCTCACAGCAACCTCCACCTCCCAGGTTCGAGCGATTCCCCTGTCTCAGCCTCCGGAGTAGCTTGGATTACAGGCACCCACCACCATACCCAGCTAGTTTTTGTATTTTTAGTAGAGACGGGGTTTCTCCATGTTGGTCAGGCTGGTCTTGGACTCCCAACCTCAGGTGATCCATCCACCTTGGCCTTCCAAAGTGCTGGGATTACAGGCGTGAGCCACCATGCCCGGCCCATTAAGTACCTTCTTTTACTCACTTTACTGGAAAGATTCTGTGCTACAATTCTGCCTTTTAATGGGCAAGTAACATACTTACTTTTCTTTAACTGCTCAAGACCAAGCATCCCTAAGGAAATAGAAGCAGATAGCGATGCTTGCAGTTCTGGAATTTCAGAATGCCTCATAGACCTGCCTCCTCATAAATGCTGCTTTGCCTTCCAATTTTAAACCTAAACTCAATCCTTCATGAGGGGAAGTATCAGGTATCATGATAACATAATAATCTTGATTGAAGTATAACAAACACACATGAAAACACTGTGTATTAATCAGGGTTCCCTAATAGGATAGATGTATATATGGAAGGGAGTTTATTAAGTATTGACTCACACGATCACAAGGTGAAGTCCCACCATAGGCCGTCTGCAAGCTGAGAAGCCAGGAAGCCAGTCCAAGTCCCAAAACCTCAAAAACTGGGAAGCCGACAGTGCAGCCTTCAGTCTGCGGCCAAAGGCCCGAGAGCCCCTGGCAAACCACGGGTGTTAAGTTCAAGAGTCCAAAAGCTGAAGAAGTTGGAGTCTGATGTTCAAGGGCAGGAAGCATCCAGCAGAGGAGAAAGATGAAGGCTGGAAGACTCAGCAAGTCAAGTCCTTCCAACTTCTTCTGCCTGCTGTATTCTAGCCACACTGGCAGCTGATTGGATGGTGCCCATCCAGATTGAGGGTGGGTCCGCCTCTCCCAGTCCACTGACTCAAATGTCAGCCTCTTTTGGTGACACCCTCACAGACACACCCAGGAACAATACTTTGCGTCCTTCAGTCCAATCAAGTTCACACTCAGTATTCACCATCAGACACTGTGGTAAGTGTTCTTGCCTTAATCACAGTTTCACATTACGATGCACAGGGGCCATAACCTGGACTAATGTGACCACAGAGAGCTTTGTCTGGCCCAATTCATGTTTAATGTCTTCACGAAGAGAGCCCATGCTCTTCAGGCACCGCAAGCCTCACCAGCTCATCATGCACTTGCAGTCACTTGGGTTGCGCACTTGGTACCAGTAGGTATTTGCTTTTGGAATGCCTGGAACTTTTGTGAGGACTGTGTATTTTCTGTCTCTCTCTATATAGAGGTGCTAATATCTGATTAGCACCTCTATATGTATATAGAGGCAGAAATATCTGATTAGGTTTTTTATTTCTAATCTGAGGATTGAATTTAAATATCCTTCAAGAAAGAGCAGACAGATATAAGTTATCAGTGACTCGTAGTTATTTGTAGCTATTGGGAAGACTCATTCTTTGATGGTTCAGAGAAGGCACTGTGCCTTTTTCAGAACTCGGCTGCTGAGTTAAGTTCTCATGTGGAGGCTGACATCTGGTGAAAGATGTCACACCCGTGGGAAGGAGATACATATACCAAACTCAAGCCCACCATCTGTTAAGTGCAGAAGTGGCTTCAGTGCATTAAGGAGACTTCACCTATGCGTCTTTCTACAGAAGGAAAGTGAGCCTGATGCTAAACAATGGTATGTATGATACAGGGTGCTACAAATGGAAGCTTCAGCTGGGCATCAAGAGTGTAGGTAGGCACTTCAAAGTGAGGACAAGAGCAAATGCAAGGACCCACCACTCACAGCCATCTCTTTTTTTTTTGGGGGGGAAAGGGGGAGGGACAGAGTCTCGATCTGTCATCAGGCTGGAGTGCAGTGGCGTGATGTCGGCTCACTGCAACCTCTGCCTCCTGGGTTCAAGCGATTCTCCTGCCTCAGCCTCCCAGTAGCTGGGATTACAGGTACCTGCCACCACGCCTGGCTAATTTTTGTATTTTTAGTAGAGACTTAGCTTCACCATGTTGTCCAGGCTGGTCTTTAACTCCTGACCTCAGGTGATCTGCCCGCCTTGGCCTCCCAAAGTGCTGGGATTGCAGGCATGTCACAGGCCATCTCTTTACAACCACTTAATATTTACAAGTGTGTCCCAGTTTCCAGAGTATGAAAGAAGGGTCCTAAGAACCAGTCTCAATAAGGAAAATTAGATTAGATTTAGCTCATTTGATGCATCTCTACTTTGTTCCTGCTTCTGGGAAGAGAGGGACTTATTAAAGTCTAGCATAAATCTGGTAAGAGCTGGCATATTCAATTTAGTAATTATTATTAATATAAATGATTATTAATAAATGAGAGTTTTGTAACTTAGTAAGAAGGTAGGAAACCATTTGTTTCCTATTGAGGATAATTAACCATGAAGGGAATAATTATAGACCTCATAAGTGAAAATCAAATTAATTTTATATAATTTTTATTTTGTATAGTTTTATGCTCAGAGAAGTATAAAATTTCTACTTATTAGTTTTTTGTAAATAAGAACAAGAAACCTGAAACTGTTCAATAATATAATAATGTTATAAAGATTACATTTAATCTTTTATTTAAATTCTACATTATGGACAGTTGGGAAGAAAATGAGGATAAAAGATTCAGAGACTCAGAGAATCAGGATGGGGTTTACAGAAGAGCTGGGAGTCTGGAGATTTGGGTCCATCTAGTCTGGGCTCCATGATGAGAAATCTTCATGGAGTCATTCCTACTGCGCAAAAAGAGTTTTAAACTCGTTGGCCGCTTTGGTATCATCTATCTGTGAATTAGAATCAGAAGGGAGAGAGGAAGAGTTAGTTTAATGACACTCTCTCAATTATTGATACAAATAGAAAATAAACAAAAGTATAACAAACTTGAACAACTCAATTAAATTGGACTCAAATGATCGTTATTGGACCCTCCACCTAACAAGATCAGCGCACATATTCTTCTCAAGTACTCATGAATCATTTCCCAATATAGAACATATTCTGGCCCGTAATAAAGCTTCAAGAAATTTAAAAGGATTTGAATAATATAAATTTTATTATCTGACCAACATGGACATAAATTAGAAATCAGTAACAGAAAGACCTACAAAAAACTTCCAGATATTTGGAAATCAAACAGCACAATTTTAAGAAACTTAAATCAGAAACTGGAAAGCATTTTGAATTAAATGGAATGAAATGGAAATGAAATGCAACATATCAATATTCGTAGGACATGGCTAAAACATTACTTGGGAAAAGTTGTTTCATGAAAATTTGTGTGACTCTGCCAAAATCAGAAAAGTTGTTTTTGTTTCTTTTTTTTTTTTTTTTTTTTGAGATAGGATCTTGGTCTGCTTCCCAGGCTGGAATGCAGTGGCATGGTCACAGCTCACTGCAGCCTCAATTCCTGGGCTCAAGTGATCCTCCCACTTCAGCCTCCAGAGTAGCTGGGACCACAAGCATGTGCCACCATGCACAGCTATTTTTTGAATTTTTATTTCTGTAGGAACAGGGCCTTGATATGTTGCCTAGGCTGATCTCCAACTCTTGGCCTCAAGTGATTCTCCTGCCTCAGTCTCCCAAAATGCTGGGATTATAGGCATGAGCTATTGCAGTACCTGGGCAAAATTTACTGGAAAAAAAGTCTGTGTTAGAAAAGAAGTAGGGCCGGGTGCAAATTAATGACCTAAACTTTCACCTTCAGAAATAATCCCAAACAGAGAAAGGGAAATAAGAAAGAAGGGCGAATAAAACCCAAAGTAAGCAGAAGAAAAGAAAGAAAAAAGATCAAAGTGAAAACCAATAAAATTGAAGAGAAAAGCAATAGATAAAAATTAAAGAAAAAAAACCTAGTTCTTTAAGAAAAATTGAAAGCCCTCAGTCAGATTTACCAAGAAGCAAAGAGAGAGAGAGAAGACAGAACTTGGCAATGTGCAGGACTAGAGAGGTCATTTCGCTGCAGATTCTACAGACGGTAAAATAATAAAAATGAAACATGGTGAACCCCAAGCCTATAAATGCACGCACTTAGTTGTAATACGTAAATTCTTTGAAAGACAAACTACCAAAGCACACTCAAAAATAAATGTATTAAGCCAGGTGTGGTGGCTCACGCCTGTAATCCCAGCCCTTTGGGAGGCCGAGGAGGGTGGATCACCTGAGGTCAGGAGTTCAAGACCAGCCTGGCCAACATGGAGAAACCTCATCTCTATAAAAATACAAAAATTAGCAACGCATGGTGGTGTGTGCCTGTAATCCCAGCTACTTGGGAGGCTGAGGCAGGAGAATCACTTGAACTCGGGAGGTGAGGTTTGCAGTGAGCTAAGATCGTGCCACTGAACTCCAGCCTGGGCGACAGAGTGAGACTTTGTCTCAGATAATAAGAAATAAATATATAAAATTAATATCTGAGTTTATTAAAGAAATTTAAGATAAACCTTCCCACAAAGCAGCCAGATGGCTCCACTGGTGAATTCTACCATATGTTAAGAATGTTAAGAATAAATAAATATACAAATAAATAATAGCAATTCTACTCAATGTCTTCTAGAAAACTGAAGAGGAGAAGACATTTACTGGCCAATGAATTCCATGAGAGCAGCATTATTTTTATACCAAAATCTGCCATAGATAAAATAAGAATGACAGCTGTAGATTCATATCCTTAATATAGATGCAAAAGTTCTGAACAAAACGTAATTCAATAATATATATAAGCAATATATAATTTATCATGGCCTAGTATGGTTTACTCCAGTAATACAAGGTGTTTTTTAACTTCTGAATATCAATCAGGGATAAATTTATTAACAGACTGAAAAACAGAAACAAATATAACTATTTTTTTAAAAAGTAGGAATTGCATTTGGCAAAATCCAACATCTATTTCTGTTAAAAAGCAAATGAACAAACAAGAAATACTCAGTAAACTTGTAATAGGAAATAAATGATTTCCCAAGTGAGTAAAGAATATTTACAGAAATACTCCAGCTAATATCATCCTTACAGGTAAAAGACAGTTTTACTTAGCGGTAGTTTTTACTCAGAGATAAAAGACCCTTAAGGTGGTGAGCAAGTCAATGATGCCAGCTCTGACTAATAGTTTATTCAACATTGTCCAGGAGATTCTACTCAGAGAAATAAGGCAAGAAAACAGAAGGAAAAGACTTGAAAATATGTCTTTATTTCACAAAAGATCTCCTGGAACTCATCAGTGAGTTTTAAAATGTTGCCAGATACAATATTTTGAAAATCCATTGTATGTCTATTAGCAATAGACAATTCAAATTTAAAGAAACGGCTAGCATTTAAAATGGAATAAAAATATGTGTAAGAGAGGAATAAACCTGACAAAAGATGCATAAATTCTGTACAGCATGTGAAACACCACACAGAACCAGCCTCCTCTGTGGCACCTGCCAGAGTGAACACAGCTTGTCACTTGCCTCCTCTGATTCCAGATCTTGCCTGCTCCTCGGACCCTGAGAATTAATCAAGGCTCTCCAGAAATGAGCCCCTATGAGCCTCTGAAGGCCTCACTCTGGTCTTCCTGGTCCATACCCTTTCACCTTCCGTTAGACTCCAGGGGCTGCCTTAACAACATACAACAAATAAAGTGGCTTCAAAGAACAGATCTTCATTTTCTCACAGTTCTTGAGGCCAAAACTCTGAAATCAGTGTTGGTTCCTGCTGAGGCTGTGCTGGGAACCTTCTCTAGGTCTGTTGTAGCCTCCGGGGAGTGCTGGAGACCCTTGACCTTCCTTGGCTTGGAGATGTGTCACTCCAATTTCTGCTTTCATCTTCACCAGACCTTCTCCCTGGGTCTTCCCACGACTGTCTTCTTATGAAGGACACCAGGCATATTGGATTAGGGGCTCCTCCTACTCTAGTGTGACTACATCAGAACAAATTATATGTGAAAGGACTCTATTTCCAAATAAAGTCACATTCTGGGGTACTGGATTTAGAACTTTAACAGTTTTTTTTTTCTTTTTTTGCGGATACAATCCAAGGCATGACACCTTCCATACACCAATGATATCGTGGGGTTTCACTTGACCACTTCCACTGGGCATGGTTGGACAGTCTGGGGCAGCAGTGGCCTGGGTTTGAGTGACTTCTTGTTCTGCCTCTTACAGGTTTAGTGAATCTAGACAGATCATTATTCTTCTCTGGGCCCTCTTTCCTGACATCTATGAAATGGGTGTGAACGCTGTTTCATCCTTCTAGGATTGTTATAGTGATGAAGTAATGAAGTCACTTCATGGGCAATTCCTATAATCCTATCCCAATGAGTGTTATTAATTCTAGTCGTTATCCATCAAGACACTGTTCAGATTTATGTCTAGTTTTTACTTTCCATGATAACCTGCCTTTTCTAATTTATTGATCGTTTCAAAAGGCATCTATGGCAATGTGTGTTCAACTGTCCTATAGCCTCATTGTCACTGGTCTATGAATCTGTCGCTGAGGGCATTCTCGAAACTCTCAAAAACAGGATCTAAACCTTGCTCTACCATACCTACCCAGAACCTTGTATTTGGCAGCTTTAGCAAGGGTTTGGCAAATTAAGTTCAGAAAATGTACGGACAAATTCTAGAGAGATTATTTCAAAAGCCAACATCGAACAAGACAGGCAATGGTTCCATGGCTTCCCGCTGACTTAGGAAAAAGACAAAGCTCTTTGATATAGCTGACAAAAATCCATGTAGCCCAATTCCCACTTTTCTCTCTGGTTAAGGTCCCCAAGTTCCCATTCACACTCATCTTTGTGCATCGCTGGCCTTGCCTTGTCTTTCATACTCACTATGCTCTCTCCTTTCCCAGGACGTTGGCATAGGTTGCTCCCTCTGTTCTGAACCCTCAACTCCTGCTTTCACCTGGTAAATGCTTCTGTATCCTTCAGGCTCCAAGTCAAATGTGAGGTCCTCAGAAGCCATCCCAACATCCTGGAGTGTGTCAATTCCACCATTTCATGGTCCTCCTCTGCATAGACTTGTAGGTGCTGTAATTTTCCATATGGTTATGGGACTATCTCTCTCCCGTAGCCTGCACAGGCAGAGAGGCAGGGACTGGCTTCCTTATTCCACACTGTGCCCCTCTGTGACCATTACATATTAAAAAAAGGTTTCATTTGTTAATTAATTAGCACCAGAACACATGTGAGCATATTTTACTTTAATATTACCCTTTAGTGGATTACATTAAAAAAGTTTTAGAAACAAATAAAAAAATGTAAATAATTCCTGATTTTATGTGACACCTAAGGAGATGCATCTATGCTCAAGAATATGTTGCTAAATATTATAAAAGAATAATGAAAAATGTGCCCTTTTTTCTAATTATACATATATCACATAAAATATATAAACATACATATTTTCTAATTATATTTATGTATATATACACCATTCATACGGTCATGCATATATGTATGTATATATGAAAGAAAAAGATAAAAGACATTTTTATAAGTTATCTTAAGGAAAGGGTTATTTGAACTAGATAGCCAACAAGGTTTTGTAAGACCATGAAAACCATCAAATATATGCCTTCTTTTGAAGATTACACATCTCTGTTTTTTATCTTGTCTCATCATTTTAACTTAATGTTGTGGTCCTAGTCAATATTTATTGTCTATTAAATATGTATCTCACACAAAGACAATCTTAGCTCACACCAAGTACATATCAAATTTAATAAGGGGCTACTGGTAGCTGGGGATTCATTACCATGGCATGAGTTTTTATATCCAGATGTGGGAAACACAATCATTAAAAATAAATCATCATATGTATTTACATTAAATGGCAACTAAAATACCTAAAAATATAGTTTTCTCATAAAGATTAAATGAGATAATAAGGGAACTATCTTATTAATTTGGGTCACCAACATTTTAACGTAATGTAACACTATGTACACTAAACTAATCATGAGCCATTAATGGTGTGGAATTTTAAAATGCTACACCATCCTATTAAACATTACTGGTAACACTGATAGAACCAGACACAGCTTGAACTTCTGCTCTAACACTTCTTATGCCTGCATGACAATGTCATTATAGTAAAGATAGTTTTATAGGATTGATTTTATATAAATGTGAAGCCTCATAAGGCCCCAGGCTGCAATCATCAGTATGAAGAGTTTACCACAATGCTTCTGTTATATTTTAATATAGATAAGTCGTTGTCACACTGTGTTCCATGGACCCATAGTTTCCACAGCAGACCTGCTTTTTTTAGGGGAAGAACAAAATGGGTGGTGAAGGGTGAGCATCAGGTTGAGTTGGGTTCATGAGTTCCTGCCTGGAGCAGCTACCCTTTTGTCTGGGGATTCAGATAAAAGAGGAATGCAATTGGTAGAATGTCATCTATGACAGACGAGGTATATCTTCTAGGCTGTGTTTGACTATAAACAACAGAAAACCTAAGTCTGAGTGATTTAAAACAAAAAGACATTTGTTCTTCACTTAATGAAATGTCCGGTAGTGGCTACCTCATGGTTGGCTTAGTAATAATTAAAAGATGTTATTAGAAATGCAGGCTCCTTCCACTGTTTCACTCTAACATGCTCAACTTGTTATTTCCTCTCTAATGCTCAATGCCTCACAGTCCCAAAGGGGTTGCCTCAGCTCCAGGCATCACATCATCACAGACAGCATACAATGCAGTACTGAATGTGATACAGGAGAAAAAGATAGCCTATGCATTAAAAAAAATAAGTGAAGGATTTTTCTCCAGAGCTCCCAGTTCTGACTTATGTCCCATTGTCCAGAAATAAGTCAGATGTGGCCCCACAGTCACTGGGAACAGCACTGCAGTAACGATCAGACCAGTCTTGTTAGATCCTCTGGGTTGGGAATATGACTGGCCCAATAACATCAGGTTTAGGAAACTGGGAGACAGTGAGAATGGCTGCTGGTGTTGGCCAAAGGAGGATAACAGCTTTGGGCACAAGTTGGTTTTCTGCTGGGTGGGAGATAATGAAGAAAGTGCTCGTTTGGGAGTTTTGACTGTGAAAAGGTCCTATTAATGAGCACCAGTGAATTATTTTTAAAATTACCGCGGTTATCCTTTTTCCCTTACAAAGAAAAGCAATACAGGTGAAAATTAGCTACTTTCTTAATCTAAACTTGAGATTTCCCAGAGATTCACCTTCTGGTCACCTCTAACCTAAAAATTGGCTCTTTGTATTAAACATGACTACCATAATGCCACATTGCTCTGTTAGCTGCCAAAGGGAGATGTTTAGAAGTGAAATGATAAGAATATTTTTTAATAAACTTTAATTTCAAAGTGTGGACAAATAGAATTCTTTCAAGATCCCCTGTGCAAATCAAGAACCTGGAAGGCAGTTTTAGGTAGAAGGAGGAAATTTTCTTTTACATTGAAAACAAAAAAAGCAAAAGCAAATGTAATTTTACTACAATTTCTGTTGAGTTTTCCAGATTAAATCAATCATTTAGTGACAAATTATTTTTCGTAGTCATTTTTCATAGTCATTTAAGTCATTGATTGGGGTGGTTCACTGAAGTGCTGCCACAATTAAATATTTCACAATCAAGTCAAATAGATCCTTAACAATGATATGCAAAACCCACGTATTGTAGTGGTACTAACTTTGCAAAAACTGCATTCATTTATCATGGATGACTCAGACATGATGTGGAATTCGCTCATGTGCAATCAAGCCTACATGAGCTTATTTTGGTTACATTAATAGCTGAATCTCTGATGAGAGACACCAGGAAATAATAATCAAACTCATTCAGACTTTTCTGCTGTATATGTGAAGCTGCTCAGCAATGATTCATGCATTTGCAACTTTTAGGAGAATAAAAAATATGATGTCATGTGAGGCATGAGCCAATAAGGGTGGATAGAAATGGACACAAACTAATTACAGCAGTGAAGAGCAGGCTTTTCCATCAGCTTCCATTCCAATAAGCCAGAGGTTTGATATATGAGCAATTATGTTACTAGCTGGTGGAACTTCAACTTCTCCTCTGCAAATTAGTGAGCACTATTCTTTTGCAAAACATTTTTATTCATTTGAAAATATTTTAATACATAGATATTTTTAAGTAAAAAAGTAGAAAATACAGATGAGATTAAAAATGGAATGTGATGAAATTTCTACCATCCAGGGAAATAATGTTCTTTACAAATAGCATTTCCAAAATATATCAAAAATACAAAATAGTCAGATGTAGTTTCTCTGCTTTCCTGCTGATTGGTCCTACTCCTGAGTTGACGTGATAAATGTATATTTTACAGACTGATGCCTCTGATGTGAGCTCAACCACAACCCTGTAGATACAACTTTAAAGCTTAGGACTCACTGTAGCTCTGTTCCTCTCTCATTCAGCATCATACACCATTCTGTAATTAGTCACAGGCCAAATCAACAACTTATAAATGTGCCGCTGGATTGAAATCAATAATCCATTAGCACAATGGATTCTCCAGCTTTCTCTAAATCTGGACAATGGTGGTGTTACTTTAAATGGTATCAGCTGGACACGTTTTGACCCCGAAAGCTGACCACTTGCAGGTGACCTCCTGCTGTTCACACAGAACATGGCTGGGCAAGGTTAGTGGTAAGAAACACTAGTTAAAGCTTGAGCAGCAAAGACTGCAACAACGCTTATTCAAAGAAATTGATTTATACTTCACAAAATCATTTCCTTTGGAAATAGGCAAGCAGGTGGCTGCAATTTATATTTGTTAAGTTTTCCCCTGCTGCTTTTATTTTTTTTTATCCTTACGGACAGCTTTTTAACAAAACTGCTAATGTACAAGTATTTATCCTTCTTGTTTTTTTTTTCTTCTATGTCCATTTCCTTCTCTGCCTTCATCATGGAAAGTTTTAATCAAAAATGTAAGCACTATCTACCAGAAACGAAATGAGCAAAATAATCAATGTATTTCCTTTTTTAAAATGTATATCTAAATAGATCACTTGTGGAAAATTATGAGTAAGGACCGATTATGATTCCACATTGTGGAGTTGTGCAATGTTTTCCTGCCAGGCCCTGAGCAATCATTATAATCAAAATTCTTTTTTTTTTTTTTGAAAAACGGAAATGAAATTTCAAACTTTCTAAACAGTGCAAGATGGTGGCAGATAGTAGCTAATGCAAAAAGTTAATGGAAACTTAGATCCATAGATCACACTGAATAATTAGAAAAGAGGATGTGATCTCCCATTGCCTAGTAACTTTATCACATCTTCTCCTCTTTCAGAGATATTGAAGAACCTAAGTTAGTGTTTGCAAAAGTAATGGCAAGATGAGAGCAGAATTAGTTGCTTTGCCTATACTTCTGAGGACAGCAGGAATGGACACCTCCCCTACCCTCATGCGGGTGGGACATCTTTGTGAAGCTTATATTTTCAAGGAAGAATCTTGAAAAAATATCTACGGCACCCCAGCACCGTCATCACTCCTTCCTCAGATTTCACCCAGCTGCCCGCCTAAGCTAGCACATCTGCAGAGGTAACACTGACCCCAGCATGAATATAGACCTCCAAGTGTGCTTCCTCTCAGCTGTATCTAGCCACACTGTTCTTCTACTGTTGGACTAGAGTCTCAACTACTGCCTGCAAGACTTCCCTGCTCCTGTCTTTCAGTCTGAACCCTGCTTACCACCAAGTGTCTACAGGGCATTAGGCAGGTCACCCAACTCCTTGTGCCTCCATCTCTGTATTCAGGATCCTGGAGTAGCTAATCTGTCAGTTCCTTCCACCTGGAGATGCCTGCTTATCATTTCAATAAGGCCATACCTTACAGGTGGGGTTTCTCAACCTTGGCACTATTGCTATTTAGGGTTGGATAATTCTTTATAGCAGGAAGCTGTGCTGTACACTGTAGAATACAGCATCCCTGACCTCTGCTAACTAGATGACAGTCATGCCTTCTCCTAAGCTTGGACAATAAAAAATGTTGCCAAGTATTGCCAAATGTTCCCTGGGGAGCAAATGGCCTCAGGTTGAGACTTGCTGCTGTAGATAACCACATTATCATTTGAGAGTTTTAACAGGGGGCGTTGTGATTCCTTACCTTACAACAACAACTTGGAACAGTAGGTTAAGCCTTGACCGCAGACAATTACAAGACAATTATAAAGGCTTTCCCTGCTAGGCCTCACTGGGGTGGGGGAAGCTGCTCCCCTCAAACCAGCTTTAGGGCATAGCTAGTGCTTTGCAGACTCTGAAGGGAGCTGCACTCCAGTCCTCAGACCTCCCTGGCTCACCATGCCTTTTCATGGTTCCATTCCCAGCCCGAGTGACTCCATGTTTAGGTCTCGATCTGAGGCAATGGGCCCAGGTCTTCTTCAGAGGCCTCTGCCTGGTCCTCCTTATGAGGGTCAGAGAGAGGCAGGGAAATGGTGAGATGCTTCCATTCTGACTCAGTGCCCAGCTGTTTCCCACTCCTATACCTCCTCCTCCTCCACAGGCCCCAGGGTCCATAACACTTCAGGAGCCTTTTGTGGGGGGCTCCCTCAACAGGGGTATGTAGTCTTCCTGCACTCTACTCTGAAGTTCCATGGGGGAAAATTACACAGAGGGAGTAGGCATTTTCTTTGGTTTTAGACTTTTGCTTATACCCTGGCAGTAAGTGATTGAAGGCTTAATGCTTCCATTTCTGGCTTGTGTCTTTGATTGGCTGCTCTTACCCCCCAAGAAACGGAAAGAGCTCAGGACACTTGCATGCCTGCACTTCTATGGGCATGCACACATGTTCTCTCTCTCCCTCCCCCAACCTTCCCTCCTTCCCTCCTTCCCCCTGTCTCCAGCTCAGCTAAGGTATGCTTGGCTAAGCACTTAGGAGAAACCACACACTGGATGCCTGGAACTGCTAATTACCTTGCCGAGAGAATAGAAGTCCAGGCTAGGTTTTAAGGAGAAGCTGGATCTTTGTTCTCTTTTTAAAAACATTACCCTCTTGGTGAATATTGGCCCTTGTATTGTACAGCTCTCCCGGACCTAAAGCCCAGTGGCCTATCCAGCCTGAAGCCTGCAGTTCAGCCCCTCTGAGCACTGCAGAAGTAAACTCCTGCTGCCCAGGGCTTTCAGGCATTCTGGCCCTAATGCCTCTTCCTTTTGCACACCCCACCCTGCTCAAGGTCAAAGCCTGGGCCATGAGTCAAGGGCAGCTGTCCCAGTCTTATTCATTAGACTACCTGTGTCTGAATAGCCTGTTAGTCAAGTGATAGGTTAAATCCATTGAGAAAGGTGGACTGTAAAAGAACTTAATTAAGATGACCAAACACTTTATCATTCAAACTGGGATGCCTTTGAAAATGAAAGGGCTAGAGTTAATAACTATAGCAAGACAGTGATTGCAAATTGGCCAGGCCATAGAATCCCCTGGTGACAATGACATTTTCTGCAGAAAAGAGACTACTCTATGGATTCTTAGATATCAATAGTGTGTGTGCTAAAGTGAGGTGGACCAATTTCCCCCAAAATCCTTACAAAGAGTCAAGAAAGCCAAAATTTGAGGATAAACAAGTTGATAAACCACTAACTAAATTAACAAAGAAAAATGGAGAGAAGATCCAAGTAAGCACAATCAGAAATGACAAAGGTGAAATTACAACCAATCCCACAGAAATACAAAAGAGCCTCAGAGACTATTATGAACATCTCTATGCACACAAAATAGAAAATCTAGAGGAAATGGGTAAATTCCTGGAAACATGCAAACTCCCAAGATTGAATCAGGAAAACATAGAAACCCTGAACAGACCAATATCGAGTTTCAAAATTGAAGCAGTAATTTTTAAAAAAGCCCTATCAACCAAGAGAAAGCCCCACAATAGATGAATTCACAGCCAAATTCTACTGGACATACGAAAAAGAGCTGCTACCAATCTTCTGAAATTATTCCAAAAAAGAGGAGAGGGACTCCTCCTGAACTTTCTGTGAAGCCGGCATCATCTTGATACCAAAACGTGGTAAAGACATAATGAGATATTTGAAACTATACATCCAACAAAAGTCTAATACCCAGAATTTGGAGGGCACTTAAAAAATCAACAGCCAAAAACAAATAACCCCATTTAGAAATGGGCAAAGAACACAAACAGGCACTTCTCAAAAGAAGATATACAAGTGAATAACAAACATGTGAAAAAATGCTCCACATCAGTAATCATCAGAGAAATGCAAATCAAAACCACAATGAGATATCATCTCACACCAGTCAAATTGGTGGTTATTAAAAAGTCAAAAAACAACCGATGCTGGTAAGGCTCCAGAGAAAAGAAAGGGAATGCTTATAGACTATTGGTGGGAATGTAAATGACTTCAGCCACTGTGAAAAGCAGTTTGGATATTTCTCACATAACTAAAAACAGAACTACCATTCAACTCAGCAATTCCATTACTGGGTATATACCCAAAATAATATAAATCATTTTATCAAAAAGACACATGCATTTGTAGGTTCACCACAGCACTATTCACAATAGCAAAGACATGGAACCAACCTATGTGCCCATAATTGGTGGTTTAGATAAAGAAAATGTACATATACATCATGGAATACTAAACAGCCATAAAAAAGAATGAAATTATGTCCCTTATGGCAACATGGATGTAGCTGGAAGCCATGATCCTAAGCAAATTAACACAAGAATAGAAAACCAAATACCACATGTTCTCAATGATAAGTGGGAGTTAAGCATTAGGTACACACAGACACAAAGATGGCAACAATAGACATTGGGGAGAGGGAGGGAGACAGGTAGAGGTTGAAAAACTTATTATTGGGTACTATGCTCACTACATAAGTGATGAGATTTGTACCCCAGACCTCAACATCACACAATATACCCAGGTAACAAACCTGCATATATACTATCTGAATCTAAAACAAAAGTTTAAAAAATAAAAATAGAAATGTTTTTTAAAAACCCCTGTAATTAACATGTAAAAATGTATATTTCAGGCTGAGCATGGTGGCTCATGCCTCTAATCCTAGCATTTTGGGAGGCCGAGGCGGGTGGATCATGAAGTCAGGAGATGGAGACCACCCTGGCTAACATGGTGAAACCCCAACTCTACTAAAAATACAAAACATTAGCCAGGCATGGTGGCACGTGCCTGTAGTCCTAGCTACTCAGGAGGCTGAGCCAGGAGAATGGCTTGAACCCCAGAGGCAGAGGTTGCAGTGAGCTGAGATCGCGCCATTGCACTCCAGCCTGGGTGACAGAGCGAGACTCCGTCTCAAAAAAAAAAAAAAACTATATTTCAGTTTCTCTTAAAAAGAAGAAACATGTAGTAACTCCAAGCTCATGTTCCCAATCTGAGCTGTGTGTGCAGCTGCTCCAGCCAGCCAAAGGATCTGCTCTGCTGACACCACAGTCGCTATTCCTGTCATTCCACTTGTCTCACCTAAGTAATTTAAGTCTCCTCTCTGGTGGCTGTTGGTGTTTATTTGGAACTTGTTATACTCTTCTGCCCTGATATCTCTCCTGTGAGCTTCTTTACTTCCTAAAGTCTCATCCCACAATCTCTCCCAGACTCTTAATGCAGATTCTCAGCTTGTGCCTGCAAACGAGCTGCCATCCGTCCTGAGCAGAATGAGAAGAGCCAGGGGCCCAAAGAGGAGAGGAGAGGACAGGGCAGGCTGCCAGGGGACCTCTGAGGAGCTGACAATGTGGCCAAGGGGGCAAGGGTCTTTCTATCCTTTCTCCATGGATTTTCCTACCTTGTCCTCTTCTCTGACTAGTGCCTGCTGAGGGCAAAATGGGGACATCATTTGTGTTGTGCTGGGCTTGTCAGTCGTTCTACCGGCCATTCTTCCAACTTCAGTCACAGTCCTGGGGTCTGGGAGTCCTTATAATTTTGTGGCATGGAATTCCTCCACACTCCTTCCTCTGTGCATCCACAGCACGTCTTGAAGGTCCCTTTAGTTTTATTCTGCCACTTGCTAGTTTGTCTGTGTGTCATCCTTCAGTCTTGCAATTTCCTTACCCTCATATCCAATGCTGGAACAAGTTTTATTATTCCAGCCACTAAATGCCCTCCTCTCTCCACCTAATTTCCACCACCCTACTCCTTGCTCACCTATTCTTATGCTTGGACTATTGCAGTAGCTTCTTAAGTTCACCACAAGTCTACTCTTGTCCTGGCAATCCATTATCCACACAGGATTTATGGTGACTTTTTAAACTACATTACCTCACTCTCTTGCATAAAAACCTACCCATGAGTTTCTCAATGCATATAACACCATCAACTGTAGTCAGCCTCTCCAGTCTACTCCATCCATCTTCATCTCTTTCACCTTCCAAAAAATGGGTTTCTTCACCTTTCTCAAACACTCCAGGCAATGCCTTTGCATTTCCTGTTCCCTGTTTCTGGAATTATTTTCCTTTAGGTTAGCACATCTGGCTTTTACATTCTCCTGGTCTCTGTTACATGTCCATTCTTCAGAGAGCCCTTCTTGGAAGACTCTCAATTAAAGCAGCACCATAACTTCACTTTATGAAGTTAAAAGTGATGTTATGAAGTAAAAAGTGATTTTTTTACTTCATAACTTCATAATTGGAGTAAAGTGATGGAAATAATTGGAGTAAAGTTCTCCAATTGTTGTCTCCTTTTTTTTTTTTTTGTCGTTGTTTGTTTGTTTGTTTGCTTGTTTTTTGAGATGGAGTCTCACTCTCTCACCCAGGCTGGAGTGCAATGGCACAATCTCGGTTCACTGCAACCTCTGCCTCCCAAGTTCAAGTGATTCTCCTGCTTCAGCCTCCCAAGTAGCTGGGATTATAGGGGCCAGCCACCACACCTGGCTAATTTTCATATTTTCAGTAGAGGGGATTTCACCACGTTGACCAGGCTGGTCTTGAACACCTGACCTCAGGTGATCCACCCACCTCGGTCTCCCAAGGTGCTGGGATTACAGGGGTGAGCAACTGCACCTGCCCAGGTTTTTTTTTTTTAACCCTCTGAAGCCATCTTATTTTTTCATTTACCCATGCCCAGTTGACCACTCCCACAGAATATCAGCTCCATATCAGCAGAGATCTTGCCCCTCGTACACAACTGTATTCCCAATGACTAATTAGTAGAAAGTGACCCTCACAAATATTTGTGGGATGGTGAATGTTTTGCAGTAACTATAAGTTGTCTCAAGAATTACTGTTTTATTTTTTATGTTTTTCAAGAGATAGGGTCTCGCTCTGTCACCCAGGCTTGAGTGTAGTGTTGCAATCATGGCTCACTGTAGCCTCAAAATTCTGGCAGTGATTCTTCTGCTTCAGCCTCCCAAGCAGCTGGGAGTACAAATGTACCCACCACACCTGGATAATTGTATTAGTCCGTTCTCATACTGCTAATAAAGGCATACTCAAGACAAGGTAATTTATGAAGAAAAAGAGGTTTAATAGACTCACAGTTCCACATGGCAGGGGAGGCCTCACTCTCATGGTGGAAGGTGAAAGAGGAACAAAGGTACATCTTACGTGGCGGCAAGTAAGAGAGCGTGTGTAGGGGAACTGCCCTTTATCAAACCATTAGATCTCATGAGACTTATTCACTATCATGAGAACAACATAGAAAAAACCCGCTCTCAGGAATCAATTATCTCCCACCATGTCCCTCCTACAACACATGCAGATTATGGGATTCAAGATGAGATACGGGTGGCACAGCCAAACCATATCATTACTTTTTGTATTTTTTGTAGAGACAGAGACACCATATTACCCAGGCTGGTGTTGAACTCCTGGGCTCAAGTGATCCTCCTGCCTCAGCCTCCCAAAGCACTGGGATTATAGGCGTGAGCCACTGTGCCTGGCCAATAATGACTGTTAACTACTCAAATTACTGTAAATTTCTCTTTTGTGGGGCTCATGTCACCCTCTTTCCTCCCCAGAATCCAGCATGGTTCCTGGAACAGGGAAGCTGCTGATATCACACGTATTTGTGGAGGCAAATGCTGGCTGCCTAAAAACACTTTATATTTACTCATGGCCATGAAACTGTCTCTGGCCAATGAAATGTGAGAATTAACTCACATACAAACCAGTTCTGGGGCTTGACTCTCTACCCTACTCTTCCCTAACTCTGTACACATTGGATCTCATGGTGAGATTGAGCCTCTGGTCAATGTGGGTCCCTACAGTAAGGATGCTTCCCTCCAAATAACAAAAACCCCAGGTTGGATATGTGGCAGAAACATGAAATAATCTCTTGTGATGTTGTTTATATTTTATGGTGCTGAGATTGTGGAGCTGTTTGTTACAAGGGCATAACCTAGCCCATCCTTACTAATGTAGCATATCCACCTACTAGACACTATCTTAGAAGTGACTGACACAAAATGTACAAGACAGCCTCTTCCTCTGAGGAAATTAAGGCTGGTGAGAATGACTGATAGAAATTAAATGAGGTGCCTAGATGATTGATGCAGTCAGTGAACAGCATAACTTAACACACTTGCACTCCCTACTCAAAATACATTTCTCTAACTGCACATTTATGTTTCTTTTCCACAGCATTGGGTTGCTGTTGAACACCTCCCATACAATACATTATAAAACTATTTCATCTTTTTGTATGTTTATGTTGTTTGATCACCGTCATCAACCACAGAAGTTGTTGGAATGAAAATCACTAGAACCCTCTCCAATGTGTCCTTAGCTCCTATCATCCCATAGACTTAGTTTCCTCATCCATGGATATAAATTAGAAAACAGCAAGAAAAATTGTAGCCAGCCGAATGCCCAGCACTTGAAAAATTTACACACAACTTTCTAAAATCAACCTTGACTTGGAAAGATACCCAGGTTCTCTTCACCCTTACTTCTGAAAGTATCTGAAGGTAATAAGATACCAAAAGTCTACAACCGTCACAGGAAGTTAGCAAGTTTATAAAAGTTTATATACATGCACATGGCATATGTATTGGCATATGTGTGTGCATGTGTGTTTGTGTGTGTGTGTTTATATTCTCTGGTACCATTCTTTTTATGTATTTACTTGGCCACGGCTGACCTCTCCCACAGGAGGACCAGCTACATAGCAGCAGACAGCTTGCACCTTGTTAGCCCCTATACCCCAACTGGGAGAAAGGACACTAAGCTGGCAGCAGTAGGTTTATGATGGGATTAAAGGCACCAGGTAATTTTTGTTGATATTTTTAAACAAAAATATGTTACTATTGCATTTTTAAGAGAAATTATACTAAAGGAACTGTTTTACCTTAATGTGTTCTGAGCCTCCTATTTGGGAAATTTTACATCTTTTTAATTTTTCTTTCACCTTTTAGAGATGGAGTCTGTCAGCCAGGCTGGAATGCAGTGGCGTGGCCATGGCTCACTGCAGCCTCCACCTCCTAGGTCTAAGTGAGCTCTGCACTATGCCTGGCCAGATTTTATAGCTTTCACACTGAGTTGTCTAAGACAGAGCAAGCCATCTGTGCAGGACTGTCTGAGATCAGAAGCACATATCAGGGTGAGCTCCCCTGCATAGTCTTATCTCCTTGTTGTGGCATCCTGGGGCAAGAGAAGGAGAGGAATTCTGAGAGCACGTTTTACCTCAAACAGTGATAGGATTGCTTGAGAGTGCCTGTCAGGGCCATCAGCAGGATAAACAGTAGCACTGTATTATGAAGTTTTAACTCAAGTTTAGAATACTATGATGGCATTTCTAGAGCTAATAGCATTGACGTTATCACTGTTGCTTCCCAAATATGCATATTTTGAGAAGTTAATGAAATATTTCTTATTCTATACCAATTTTTAATGCTAACAAGATTACCAATGTTATTCACAGTTGTTCATATATGAAAGCCGCATTTCTAGATAACTAATAGGAAAAACTTGTCTATCCAACCCCAAGGCAACAATTACACAAATTAGTTTGCTTTGCTTTTAAGCAACAAGCAGACTATCAAAATATTAATCTGATAAACTACAAAGTAAATTAGATTAAGCAAAGTAGCTACTTTGTATTTTTATGTTTTAAATATTGTCATGTGCTTATCAGAGAAGTAATTCCTATATAGTAATTTATTTCTGCATTTTAATGATGTTAAAATCCTCTTTACACTTATCGTTTAAAAATTTTAATATTTCTTAAATGTATAGAAATAAATTTTAATTTGGCACGCAAATTAAAACTGGCATTTATACTCAAAGGAGAAAAGGATGACTCTCTAGAAGAATATAAATATTGGCTAAACATAGGCTTTATATTTTTGTTCTTTTTTTTTTTTTTTTTTGAGACGAAGTTTCACTCTTGTTGCCCAGGCTGGAGTGCAAAGGCATGATCTCGGCTCACCTCAATCTCTGCCTCCCTGGTTCAAGCAAGTCTCCTGCCTCAGCCTCCCGAGTAGCTGGGATTACAGGCATGTGCCACCATGTTCAGCTAATTTTGTATTTTTAGTAGAGATGGGATTTCTCCATGTTGGTCAGGCTGGTCTCAAACTCTTGACCTCAGGTGATCTGCCTGCCTCAGCCTTCCAAAGTGCTGGGATTATAGGCGTGAGCCACCACGCCTGGCCTGTTCCTTTTTAAGATGGGAGAGTTGACACAGAGTTTATATCTAAACATACATTAAGAAAGCACACATTTGGTCCAATTGTTCCATTATGCAGTGTTTAGCTTTGTGCTCTCTTGCAATTTTACCATTGATAAAAGCATCCCTAATCATGAGGTTCAGTGTTATTCACCTGGTTCCCCAAATTCTATCCCTTCTTGAATGGCACAGTGGTGGCCATGCTGATAGTGTATGAAAATAATAGGGCAATTGGAAATGGTTTTGAAATTTCTATCATATAAGCTCATAGTTAAATTTTCTGAGTTCTATTAACTATGATCTGGAAAACTATCTTTAATCTCTGGGAAACTTTGGCTATGTTTGAAAGAGATATTTCCAAAATTGGCTTTCTCAGTATGTACAAAATAACTTCTTAAGCAATGAAATTCACTTTTGTATGTAAGCAGATGTGAGCAATCATAATGGGTGGTTTGAAAAATGTTTTCTATTCGTTTATGATCAGAGAATATCTACCAGAGTCAGATATTAATGTTAATAATAATAATTATTATTATTAATCTCATTCAGCATATATTTATTGAGGAATCACCTATGCCCCATGGTCTGTAGCTGTGACAGTCACTAGTTGCAACTGCCACCCCAGCACATACAACTTCATTCTCTCTCTTTTCCACTAACAAAATCCTCGGTCTGAGCTAGCTATGCAGAATAAACACTGCATTTTCCTGCCTCTCTTGCAGCTAAATATAGTCCCATGATTAAGTTCTTGCAAGTAGGATATGGAAAAATAATGTATCCCTCTTATGGGCCATAGCTATTTTTTTTTTTTAAAGAACAGAGTCTCTTCTCTATGCCCCTCTTCTCACTCGTTGTCATAGGGTGTGGAGATGCATCATCTTGAAACATTTCGATAATAAAAATATCCTAGGGATGGGTAAATGACAAAACAGAAAATGTCCTCTTATGACCATTTCTTCCTGAATGCCTCATGTTTCCAGATATAAGTACAAACAACCATCACTTACACACCAGGTAAAACCAGCATCGTTATCCCTTCGTGAAAGCTATGGAGGCTGGCAATCAAGGGGCTAAAATACACAGACAGTTCCTGGTGACATCAGAATGGGAAGTGGGATTTACCAATGGAGATTCCTGGCAGGGCAGTGATGGGGATAGATAATAGAGTGTTAAAAGGAAACAAAGGCACATTTCCTGTGAGAACCCGTATTTCATTCTAGCTGGCAGCGAATTTAATGGTAGGAGATGGTGAGATAATCTGTCAGTGTTGAAGAGGACTTTAAACTCCTGAGTAGCAAGTAAAAATCTCAGATTCAAGCAACATTGCTGGTCATAAAGCATTTTCCCTCCGCTCATTCTTCCCCACAATCCCTCCTGCACAGGTAGGCAGTGCTATTGCTTACCCCTTGCAACTGGAGAAATAACACACAGATGATATATTAGCCTGTTTTTGCACTGCTATAAATAACTACCTGAGACTGGGTAATTTATAAAGGAAAGAGGCTTAGTTGGCTCATTATTCCACAGGCTGTACAGAAAGCATGGCTGGGAAACCTCAGGAAACTTTCAATGATGGCGGAAGGTGAAGGGGAAGCAGGCACATCTTACATGGCTGGAGCAGGAGGAAGAGAGAGAGAGGGTGGGGGAAAGTGCTACACACTTTTAAACAACCAGATCTCGTGAGAAATCTATCATAAGAACAGCAATAAGGGGGAATATCTACCCCTATGATGCCATCACCTCCCACCAGGCCCCTCCTCCATCACTGGGGACTACAGTTCAACGTGAGATTTGGTCAGGGACACAAGCCCAAACCACATAGGAAGGCTTCAACTTTCCTTATCATGAAGCACTTGCTTTATTTGTAGTTAAGGACTGTATCTCCGTCGACGTGCATTTGGTCCCAATCCAGCTGTGGCATAGTCCAACTTTTCTTCAATGTGACAGCTGAGAAAAAAAAATGCATTTCCCTTCAACAAGCTATAGAGAAGCTGAGAAAAACACTCACTGACCCTGCCTCACCTTGGAAGCCAGGTTGCTTGGTTAGACTTTATGTCTGCCATGAGTTGAGTTACCTTTTGTAATTTTTTTAAGTGAACGAGGAAGAGTTCTAGCATGGCAGGATTGGCAGAAGCTCACGCTGTTGGTTCTCAATGTACACACAGTGAGCCGAACAGGAGAAAAACCCTCATGTTGACTGCCCAGAACTCTCTAAACCTTCCCTGACAGCTGTTGATGCAGGTTAAAACGTGGCATTCTGGGAAGCGGAAGAGACAGCATACAGACGCGATTTCTGATAAAGTTTGGTCATTAAAATTGAGAATTTTGTACCTTTTTATTATTCAAGAAGATGGTTCCATTGGTCTTTCATAAAATGAACTCAGCAAACATCAATAGCTCAGTAATCAATGTCTGGCTATTGGGCCAGGTAAAGAACTAAATTAATAAATACAAGATTGAAGACAAAGAACACTGCTAATTTTCTGAAGACCGGCTTCTGACTTTATACCATGTGAACGGGCAAGTTCCACCTGTCCTCACAGGCAGTACAGGATTTCCTTGTAGCTATAGAGGAAGGGAGGTGTTTTTGTTGACATTTAAATCACATTTAAAGCTGTTGCTTTAATTAGGGCTTTTGTCTTAATCCCATTATGCTGAAAACCTCGTGGGGCACAGGCATCATTAGGGATGTTTAGTGGTAGATGGAACACAGGTTTTGGTTTATGTATGGACTTGGGTTCACGCTCTGCTTTATCCTAAACAATAATAATTCTTAACCAACTATTATCAACCTGAAATTACATATATATATACATATATATGCACAACTGGGACCATACAAACCCAAATTAGAGATAATTAAGCCATGAGTAATAATACTCTTTTTCTTTTCTTTTTTTTTTTTAAGATGGAGTCTCGCCCTGTAGCCCAGGCTGGAGTGCAGTGGTGCAATCTCAGCTCACTGCAACCTCTGCCTCCCGGGTTCAAATGATTCTCCTGCCACAGCCTCCTGAGTAGCTGAGAATACAGGCACCTGCCACCACGCCCAGCTAATTTTTGTATTTTTAGTAGAGACAGAGTTTCACCATGTTGGCCAGGCTGGTCTCAAACTCCTGACGTCGTGATCCGCCTGCCTCTTTTTGAGTACAATTTTCAAATATTTCTATGTTTAGTACCTTGCATGGAATCCTCTGGGATTCAGATTTTTCAAAATTAGAATATGAAGCAGCTAATTTCAAAGTTCATTCTGAGAGAATTTTACCAGTTGGTTACAGAAAGTCCATTTTGAGCAGTATGATAAAGGCATACTTCTAAATACATTTTAGATAAATTGAGAGCATTTTGACCCTTGACTGATTATTTTACTTGCATGGTAGTTCCATAATAAAAGAACGCTCTGTGTGGAAGTGCAGAAAATAGAGATGAGGATATTTTAAGAATCTTCTAGTCTCTTTTGTGCCCATCTGTATTAGTAAGGAGAAACAGAACCAATAGGGTAGATACATAGACAGATATAGAAAGATATATGAGGAGACATATTAAGGAAATTGACTTACATGATTATGGAGGCTGAGAAGTCCCATGGCAGGACACTTGTAAGCTGGAGACCCTGGGATGATAGTAGCGTGGCTCAGTCCAAGTTCTAAAGAATCAGAACCAGGGAAGCTGATGGTGTAATTCTCAATGTGAGTCCGAAGGCCTGAGAACCTGGGTGGGGCTGCTTGTGTAAGTCTCAGAGTCTCAAGGCCAGGGAGAATGGAATTCTAATGTCCAAAGTTCAGGAGATGAAGAGTGTCCCAGCTCCAGGAGAGAACAAAAGGAAACCCTTTTCTCTCTATTTTTGTTTTATCCTAGTCCACAGCTGCTTGAATGATGCTCTCCCACATTGAGGGTGGGTCTTCCCCACATGATCCACTGACTCACACACCAGTCTCCTCTGGAAACACCCTCACGACCCACTGATCAGTGATACTTTACCAGTTCTCTCTATATTCCTTAATCCAGTCATGTTAACTATTAAAATTAACCCTCACTCGCCCCTCCACCATGTTTTTATAAAGGATTAGAGAGGAATGTTGGACCACATACAAAATGAAGATTGACTCCTTGGGACTCTATTGGTTTATCTCTATATTCAGGGAAGGCTGACTTTCTCCAAGCTGAAACTTCTGCAGAGACTTAATGGATTTTTGCTGAACCTGGACAATGTGAACAGGAAAGATTCATCTGTGCTCACAGGTAGTAAAAGATTTACTTGTATCTATAGAGGGAGGGAGTCATTTCTGTTGACATTTGAGTCACATTTCAAGCTGTTGCTTTAATTAGGGCTTTTGTCTTAATCCCATTATGCTGAAAGTCTTGTGGGGCACAGGTGTCACTTGGGATGTTTAGTGTAGATGGAACACAGATCTTCATTTATTTATTACTTGGGTTCAAGCTCTGCTGCTTGTTAAATTTGTGGTTTTGGGCAAATAGCTTAAACTTATTGAACCTCACATTGTTTGACTGTTGAAATGAAGCCCTTACATCATTCAACTTCTATGATACCTAAGCAATAAAACAGGACAGTTGGCATAATTATTATTTACTCCACCTTTTCCTTTTAGGTGCTGCGTCTACCAACTCCATGTGATTCTGGTGAAGTGGTGAAATGTGTGGCTCCCTTAGTTAGTAAAAACCACGTAGCTCTTACTTCTTCCAGGGATTGTTCTAAATTCTTTTAAAATATTAATTTATTTAACACAACAAGCTTATGTGGTGATTTCCATTGTTTACCTCATTTAACAGGTGAGAAAATAGAAGCATGGGTAAATGTAGTGTCTTAATGAAATTTATACAGCTAGTAAGTGACAGAGCTGGAATTTACATACAGATTGTTACACTCAAGGGTCTCTGGTTTTAAATCCTACAGTGTGATGAACATGTGACTGAGACTGGCCCATTGGATGACTCCACTTTCTCGAATCAGTGAGTGGTTCAGGGTTGTCATGTGGATTCTTACACGGTGAACCCAGTTTATGGCAATTATTGATCTGAATCCTGGGAGAGAGAATTTTACTTTCCTTTTTTGTAAGATTGCTTGTTATGAAGATGATGTTTTTTAAAGTGGTTCACCTTGGAGTGTTAGTTGCTAGTTTGCTTCATGATAACTGCTAAAAAACTTGACGAAGCCATGTTTGAGCCAGTCTGCCTGGAACTTTCCAATACACGAGGCACTAAATTACCTTTTATACCTAAGCTGATCTGATGTGTTATTGGAAGAGACCTGACAAACAGATATCATAAAGCCACTGGTATTGTCTGCAGCAATGTTAAATAGACTCAATATACATCTATACACCCATATATGCCCTCATATATGCACTAAATACACCTTGACTTTAGGAGTTGGAGACTAAATTGATTTAAACTAAGAAGAAGTCAAATAAAATGCCTTAGATAATCTATAAATTACAAATAAAATAAATATAAAATATCTAATAAGCTAACAGTTCGAGCATTCTGCAATTAAGGAAACTGCCTAGTTCACTTTGTTCTTTTGTTCTGTTTTGAATTTCATTAATTTGCGTCTCCATCTTTATTATTGTGTTTTTTCTCCTAGATATGTGTTTAGCTTGTTCTTATTTTTCTGGTTTCTTTTGGGAAAAAGTTACATTATGGATTTGAACATTGTTTCTTTTCTAATGTGTACATTTAATGATATAAAATTCTATCAAGGTGTTATCCCTTTCCTACGAATTTTGATATGTTGTCTTTTAATTTTAATTTAAGTAAAATATTTTTAGATGTGTCATTAGACTTCTTTTATAATCCATGGGTTATTTAGAAGTGTGTTGTTTACTTTTCAAAGACTTGGTGATTTTCCAAAAATTGTGTTACCGATTTTAATTTGCTTATTTAATAATAAGAAATTATACCTTATATCATCTAAATTATTTTAGTTTTTTAAGGTTTGTTTTATATCCTAGAATATAGTCTACATTGATAAATGTCCTATGTGTGCCTAGAAATAATGTATATTCTGCTGATAGGGGATATGTTCTATAAATCTCATATAGATCAGGTTGGGTTATGTTTTTCTGGATTTCTTTATACTTGCTGATTTCCTGTCTAATATAGTAATTACTTGTCACTTTTTTAGTGAGGTGTTGAAGCTTCTAAGTTCATTTATGAATTTCTCCATTTTTGTTTCCTGTGCACACAATTTTTGCTTTATATATTTTACAGCTATATTGTGAGTGAATACATCTCAGGATTGTGATGTTTTCTTGAGGAATTTATCCTTTTATCAAGACCAGTCAGTGGAGAAAATAATTTTATTTTTCAAAATATGGTGTCACATAAATAAATATCCAAATACAGAAGAATGAAATTGGACCTTACATTACAACCCATGCAAAAATTAACTCAAAATGGATGAAAGTCCTAAATGTTAAGACATAAATTTTCTTTTTTTTTTTTTTTTTGAGATGAAGTTCTGCTCTTGTTGCCCAGGCTGTAGTGCAATGGCACAATCTTGGCTCACCTCAACCTCTGCCTCCCGGGTTCAAGCGATTCTCCTGTCTCAGCCTCCTGAGTAGCTGTGATTACAGGAATGCACCACCACACCCAGCTAATTTTGTATTTCTAGTAGAGACAGGGTATCTCCATATTGGTCAGGCTGGTCTCGAACTCACGACCTCAGGTGATCTGTCCGCTTCTGCTTCCCAAAGTGCTGGGAATACAGGCGTGATCCACCACACCCGGCCAAGACATAAAATTTCTACAAGGCAATATGGTCATAAATCTTCTTGGTGTTGGATTAGTTGATAGTTTCTTAGTTATGCTATCAAAAGTACAAGCAAAAAAGAAAAAAAAAGATAAATTAGACCTCAAAAAATTTTTAAATAGTGCATCAAAGGACACTATCCAGAAACTAAAAAGAAAACTCATAGAATTGGAGAAATATTTGCAAATGATTTGGCTCGTAAGATTCTAGTATTCAGAATATATAAAGGATTCTGACAACTGAAGAAAACAAAGAAAATGACCCATTTACAAAATAGGCAAATCCTTTGAATAGACATTTCTCTAAGGAAGCTATTCGAATAGTCAATGAGCACATGGAAAGATGATCAACAACATTAGTCATTAGGGAAATGCAAATCAAAACCACAATAAGATACCATTTCCCATTCATTAAGATGGTTATAATTAAAAAGATGGAAATTAACAAGTGTTGGTGAGAATGTGGAAAAACTGACGATGGAAATACAAAATGCTACAGCCACTTCAGAAAAAAACGGAAGATTCTCAACAAGTTAAACATGGAGTTACCATGTGACTCAGAAATCTTTAGGTATTTACCAAGATGATTGAAAATATATGTTTAAAAAATACTGTTACACAAATGTCCATGGGCATTACTCATATTGTCCAAATATTGGAAACAATCCAAATATGCATCAACTTACAGAGAACAAAATGGTTATATGTCCATATAATAGAACCTGATTCAACCATAAAAATTAATAACATTGATGAAACTTGAAAACCTTATGTTAAGCAAAAGATGCTGGTAACAAAAGTGATTCAATTTATATGAAATTTTCAGAATATGCAAATTCATAGGTATAGAAAGCAGATTAGTGGGTACCAGCAGTGGTGAGGAGGAGGGAGAGAGGCTGTTAATGGGTACAGGGTTTCTTTTGAAGGTGATGAAATGTTCTGGAATTAAATAGCGGTGATGGTTATATAAACCTACGACTATAATTTAAAAAGTGTATTGTGTGCTTTAAATAGTGAATTTCACGATATGTGGATTTTATCTCAAATTTAAAAAGAAAAAAAATAAACCACCCTTTATTGGCTTCTCTTTCTTTTCTGTCTCACTGGTCTCCACCAATATTTCTGGGACACACTTTCTGCATAAAGAACTTGTATTTGAATTCTGGTCTCAGATTTTTATTTTGAAGAATGCAAATTAAGGAAAAACCCATCTCACTCCAAGCTTAAGGTAAAAGTAAAGTGCCCCCCTTGCTAGCTCAGGGAGGAATGGGGGTTATAACATTTCGACATCTTTCTCCAAAGAAATCCCCACGCACTGCTTAGCCTCTTGGAATGTCACTCTTCTTGTGGCCTCCATATTTGTAGTCACCATCTTTACAATGTTAGTTTAGCTTAGCACTTCACATTGAAAAATGAGGGTTCTTAACCTCAATATTGCTTTGTTGAACCATAAACTTGGCCCCTTATTATATTTTATTATAAATGCAAGAATAATGTAGCAACTCCCGTGTATGCCGGAGTGACTTCAGGAATAAAATCTTACAAATACAGTCGAAGCCTCTGGGATACTTTTGTCTCCCTCTCGCTTTAAGATACTCACCATCCTGAGTTTGGTGCTAATCATGTTTAGTAGCCCTTTTAACTTTGGGGTTTGGCATGTTTACATTCACAATTTGAAATACAGTATTCATAAAGTGGAGATTTCAAATTTTGCCTTTCAATTACCATATCGCATGCATTTTAATGTTTCAGAAAGACACAATCTATTTCATTACAACTTACTTTATTTCACCTAACAAATCCTCACTCATAGTCTGTGCTGACAAATTCGAGACATCATAAATCGTTGATCAATATTTAGTTATAAATTCACTCCAGCTTTGGAAACAGGCCCAGGAGCCAATTTTGTATCTCTTCTTGCAAATCATCCATAATTCATAATGACTCTCTCCTTCAAATGTGACAGGTATTTGATTTTGTAAAATGGCAGTTTGTTGACCACACAAACATACACACACACACACACACACACACACACACACTTTCCTCTAAAAACAGGTGTTCTCCAAAGGCAAGCATTGTCAGAAACTCCTTAAAGGTATTTTAGGGAAAAGAAAAGCAGCGTTTACAGAAACAACAATATGGGTTTGAGTAACAGGAGAATTCCCATTGCTTATTTCAGCAAAAAGATGTTAGCTTACATTTTATGATTGTTGGTGGTATGTGACCTAGAATAACTTTTCTTGTCAAAAATTAAAATTTACTTCAGATGTTTGGCTTGGTAAATTGAAAGCTCTGGGAATTTTGGGTACCATAAATTTCTGGTGCGGGTTTGGAATAAATAGGGATATGTAGACATCAGTCCTTTCTTTACAACACAAGAGGTTATTAATTGAGCACTGCATGGTGTGTAGAGAATTTGGGGATGTGCTCAATGGTGAGGAAGGCCATATATGCCACCCCAGGTGGAGCTTGTAACTTCTTCCAAGGGATGTGAAAATATCTTCAAAAATATTTGACAGTCTTGTGAACTCAAAGGAAAACAAGTTATTTAAGCCTCAGAGACGACGATAAGTTCTTCCTTGTTAAAAGAGTGACACTAAAGCCTACGCTTCTCTTTAGAAGATGGAATGTTGACAGCTAGGATATTTTCTGTGGAGAAACATTGTTATTCAGTAACTTAAAACTCCATAGTACTAGGCAGAAAATAGTTTAGAGTGGCAATATCTGAATCAAACAGCACTGCACTTTTAAAATCCTTTTTCATGTTCAGAAGCCACTAGATAAATTCCCAATTAATTCTTCAGGCCTTGGAAACAATATCCTTATTGAAAACAAACAACGGTATTACCATCACTCAGCAGGCAATTTTCCAAACTGCTCATTCTCAACCAGGCTAAATGTTTACTTTCAAAAGCTGTAGTGTTCAATAGTCTACTCATTTGAAATGGGCAGCATTTCCAAGACAGAAAAGGGTTTGTTCCTAATGAAAATTGAGTTCATAAAATATATTAGCTTCTGAGTGAGTACTGTTACAGGGATTAATGAGTAAATACGGTACGGGGACCAGTGGACTCTGAGAAGGGCCGCCTGAGTCTTTGGACCAGTGTTCACAGGTATCTCTGAGTTTAACAACCCTAAGGACTGTGCAGCTGTGCTTAATTACCCCCTTGGAGTGGGGTGTATTAGTCTATTCTCATGCTGCTATGAAGAAATACCCAAGACTGGGTAATTTATAATGAAAAGAGGTTTAATTGACTCACAGTTCTGCATGATTGGGGAGGCCTCAGGGAACTTATAATTTCAAGGAAGAAGGCACCTCTTCACAGAGCAGCAGGAGAGAGTATGAGTGCCCAGTGAAGGAGGAAGTCCCTTAAAAAACCATCAGATCTGGTGAGAACTCACTCACTATCATGAGAACAGCATGGCGGAAACCACCCCAAGATTCACTTATCTCCATCTGGTCTCCCCCTTGACAAGTGGAGATTATTACAATTCAAGGTGAGATTTGGGTGTGGACACAGGGCCGAACCATATCATGGGGTGTCTTCCATTCATTGCTGTGGGATTGAGAAGCAGAATTCTGTCCAATCTGCTGTTGAGTGGCCAAGGTGCTTTGGGCTTACCAGTGCAGAAAGAGAGGGCACCTGCCTTCCCAATCCACTGCCCTGAGAGATGGATCTGCAGGATTTTAGCTGGCCCCTGAAGTCAGCACCGCCTCAGGAAACAGAAGGAAGCAGTTCTGTAGAATAGAAGCCCACTGTGGATCTCACGGTGCCGAAATCAAAGAGTCGTCAGGGTTGTACTCTTTCTTGGAGGCTCCAGGGCGGACGCGTTTTCCTTTCCTTCTTCAGCTTCCAGAGGTACATGCATTCCCTAGCTGATTGCCCTCTTCTTTCTTCTAAGGGAACAGTGCTGCATCTCCTTGTATCTTACGTCTATAGTCACGGCTTTGTCTATGTTGTAGAAAGTTTCTCCAGTTTTAGGGATATATATGATTAGATTTGTCCTGCCCAGATAATCAGGGATAACCTCTCAATTTGAAGTTTTTCGTTTGTTTATTTTTGGAGACAGAGTCTTGCTCTGTCACCCAGGCTGACGTGCAGTGGCATGATCTGGGCTCACTGCAACCTCCACCTCCTGGGGTTCAAGCAATTCTCCTCCCTCAGCCTCCAGAGTAGCTGGGATTACAGTGCCCACTCCCATGCCTGGCTAATTTTTGGTACTTTTTTTTTTTAGTAGAGATAGGGTTTCACCATGTTGGCCAGGGTGGTCTCAAACTCCTGACCTCAAATGATCCACCCTCCTTGGCCTCTCAAAGTGCTGGGATTACAGATGTGAGGAACTTTCTTAACTTTAGTCACATAGACAGATCCCTTTTACCATGTAAGGTAACGTGCAACAGGTTCCAGAGATGAAGATGTGGACATCTTTGAGGAGGAGACGGGACCATTCCACCTATGACAAGCAGCCAACACTTTCGAGGTAACTCTCAACGAAGAGGAAACGCAATTCCATGGACCAACGTCCCAGACGTCTATCCTTAAGGGGAGAATGTCTGAGGAGTGCTCCATGCAACTCCTCCGAAGCTCCGCATCATGACCGAGACCAGCATTTGCTCACCACGGTAAACAGTGCACATCCCTCTTGGCTTCCCCCTTCCTGACCTCTCTCCTGATTCCATTCTCTGGGGTCAGCTCCCAATTAAACTGTATAACCCCAAGTAATTGTCTCAGGCTCTGCTTTTGAGGGAACTCCAACTAAGCCAGCTTGAAGCTTCTTCTTTGCTTGCTGACTAAGGAGCCACAACATCTTCCTTACATGCAGCACTCCTGCCATTGGTCTGCTGCGATCTCCAGCTTAAAGCAGACCAAGAGCCTACAGATGCCTGGGAAGAAATCAGAATCAGTGAAGAATACTTATAAATTGCTATCATCTAAAAACATCTATGTGCTATTGTGATATCCTTCTAATTTGACAGTGTTTTAGAAGACATTTTTTGAATAGCCTTTCAAATTTGTTTTAGCATAAACAAAATCTCTCAAGCCTTCTTTTTCACTGGTCTACAAAATATTTTATTGTATTAAGCAATTCCAGTAGCAAAAGAGCAGCTAAAACATGCTAAAGGTAAATACATCAAGGAGCAGCCATTATTAAAGTTCAATTTCCATGAAATCGTACTTGAATTATAAAAGAAAGGAGAAATAAATCCAAAAATAGACTGCAAACTAGAACAAAAAATCTGGAGATGTTTCATTTTTTTAAAAAAGTTTGCACTTGCTATGTTAAACTTCGCCATGCAGGTAGAAAGCTGAATGACTGAACTCCAGGTACAGCAAAGAGTCTAAGAAACACAGGATATACCCGAAAATGGGGGCTGTTTCATAAAAAGCAAACATTCTTTGAGAATGAATTTACTGGAGATGCATAGAGGAGTTCCCCAGAGAGACATAAACAGCTTAAAATAAATTACCAGTTGATCTTGACACAAAACGAAGATGTGTAGATAGTTTTTTAAAGTGAATAATTGGGGACTTGGCTTATTATCCCGGAAAGACTGCTGATTCAGTGTTAAATGACCCTAAACCAAAAGGAGAAATAAGGAAAATTTCCCAGGGCTGTGTCTTTTATTACAAAACCCAAACCTATTGAATGGAATGAAAAAACATCTTTTATTTCAGCTCAGACTTTCAGCTAAATGTGTCAAAGTAACACTGGCTGAATTTAATGCCAATTTTCAAGCCTGAAACTTTCCCATTGTCTCTAGGGCCTTGTTCTTAACAAAAAATATTTGTGCCAAAAATGGACATTCTGAAAAAGTGAACAACGAAGTCTTAACTCAGGTTCTTGTGTTTTTATCAATTTCAACATTTTTCATTCAATTACAAGTAAGAAAAAAGTGGGTTCTATTATATAGAGAATTTTTAATAGATATAACTAGTTTCCACTAAGACAATATAATATTTTTAAAATGTGAGAATGGATACTAACATCAAGTTCTGTAAAGCAAACAAATAAAAAAAGACAATAAAATCATGAACCTCTGGTGATTATATTTCTGTAAGGATTTCTTCAAAGTCTGACCACAAAATGAAACATTAAAAAAAATAGTTGTTTGGGGATCTTCTGAATATTGACATAAAGTCCTATAGAGAGTTGCATAGATGGAGGAAGAAAAAGGAGAATTTCCCAAGAGCAGTAGGAAGACAGAACTGTGAGACAAAGTAGTAGTGTTGATGAGGTGCAATAGTGCATCCCTCCAGACAACAGCAACATTGAAGAGGTAATTTTAAAGCTTCTTAAGTCCCATGTAGACCCACTGAGCTTATCCTTTAAACGCCTGCACTTTCAACAAAGGAAATCTCTTCTAATTCTTGAACCAATGGACACTTATTTTACAATGCAATTGCAATAAGTTTGGTTATTCGTTCAACAAATATGTATGAATCAATTAATGCCCTGACGCTGTACTAACAAGGTGCCAGGTGAGCAAGATAGACAAGGTCTCTTCTTTCAGGAAGCCTGTAGTCTAAAAGTTGTATGGTCTCCCAGGCGAAAGGTGTTCATAGGAAATAAGAGAGAAGGTATGGAGCCTGAGACGGGGAAAAAAAGAGTAGGGAGTAACATCACAGAGTAGATGGGAGGAACACCACAAAATCAAAAGGGAAACTTTAAAGAGCTTATCCTTTTGGGTCATTTAACAAGGGGACATGCTGGCTTAAACCAATAACTCTGGTAATGGTCGCTGCAGTCCACATTGGTCACAGAGAAATAGTCAGTGCAAATGGGGTGGGTCTCTGGCACACACCTGAAAGTTAGCCAGTAGTCTCTCTGTATTAAGATTACAAGAAAGAGGACTGCTTTTAGGCAGACTTTCCATTAAAACTTGGTTGTGATGAAGTTTTGGTATTTAAAAGTATACATTTTTATTAGTATGGAATTATTCCATTTCAATATTGCTGGAACCCAGGTTTTCTTTTTAAATTTTAATGTATTTTTAATTGGCAAATAATGATACATATTTATGGGTACATATGATGAGTGATGTTTTGATATATATAGTGATCAGATCAGGGTAATTAGCATATCCATCATTTATCATTTCTTTGTGTTGGGAATGTTCAACATCCTCCTTCTACCTATTTGAAACTATATAAAAGATTGTTAACTGTAGTCATCCTATAGTGGAATAGAACACTAGAACTTATTCTTCCTATCTGTAATTTTGTATCCTTTAACGAATCTCTTCCTATCCCCTTATAATCATCATCTCACAAGCATTTTCTCTTTTTCATAACAAAAAGAGAAAATTTAGAAAGAAATTTTAAGAAGAAAACCTGTGTTCCAGCATCCTGTGTCGATGACTATTTTGTGAAAACTCTTTCGATTTCTTATACGACTAGGTCAGCGGCTTTGGGGAAAAAAAATCCAAATGGACTCACCAGGTTAAGATAATAGGATGGAGGAGACAAAAGGCTGGAAAATCAGAGCCGTCCAGGAGTCCCACGATCTGAAAGCCGTTGACCCAGAGTTCTGGCTAAGGAGGCAAAAGTGGAACTGTCCACATGGAGGCCCGATGGACACACATTGTTTCCCTAATGTTGGAGATGGCACTAAAGATCTAATGGCATTTCGGAGCAACTTTGTAAACGGAAAACAAATTCTAGGAAGGCAGGACTCTTTCCCAGGTCTAGGTTTCTAACTGAAAACAATTGGAAACTTAAACAGGTGTGGCAGGCAGATTCCGTACACATGTCAAATTCACTAGATTTATTTCTAACTGTAGAATAATCCCTGAATTGTGACTTCAGAACAAACCTACAGCCTGAGGTGAGCTAAACGCTAACTCTGTTATCCACAAAAAGTTCTGAAATTGTAAGATTGCTGTAGGGCAGACAGGGGCCCCACCATTACAATATGTAGAAAATCATTTCAACTTCTGAAACATTTACTGCTACTTGTCTAAAGCAGAAATGTGAGCAGGGCTAAAACCTCTCTCTGAAATACTCTATGCATTCATATGAAATGTACAAATTTCAGCCCAATGTGCAGGATTGGTCTATATTTTACCAACCCTGGGATGAGGGTGTATAAAAACCCTCAAGTTTGCCATCCCAGACACACAGCTCATTGTGGTCCTCACCGCATTCTGGAGGATGGCTCGTCTCACATTTACCCACCCCTCAGATTGGTGGCAAGCAGCCTTCTTTTTCTGAGATTTCATTAGCTTCTCTTTACGATACAGCATTCCCCATAAGTCTTTTTTTTTTTCCTTTAGGGAAGTAGATAGCAATCACTGCAAGAATTAGTGAAAGTTTTGACTTTCCAGGGGAGGAAAAGGGTGGCTCTTAGGAAAATAAAGTTTCACTCCAATGTGAAACAATGTGTGACTTTAGGAAATTCAAATACTAAAACAGAAGTTAAAGATGGTGGCAGGTTTATAATACACAAGGGTCAATTAACTATATATAATAGTGATTGTTGTTCTTTGGGTCTTTTCTGTATCTATGCTTTTACTTGCTCCAGAAAAGAAACTAAACGCCAAAGTGTATGGGAAGAGAGAAAAGAAGAGAAGGAGAGGGGAGAGAAGTGGAAGGAAGAAGTGGGAAATACATACCTCTTCTATAATGTTTTACTTTTAATCTTGTCAATGAAAAGCCTATAATCTTTACATTAAAATAATTTTGTGTCAAATTTGTAAATCTTACAAAATCAACTATCTTGCAGTAGTGTATTTTTCACGTTTGCAGGGTATAATTTTTGATGAATTAAGTAACAACAAATACAGCAATAAAATAATAAAAGGAAAGATGCAAAGATAAATAATCATTTGAGTTGTCAAGGGAAGATGAAGTGTCTTTTCTGGACAAGTCACACAGTTATTTCTTCATTTACTTATTTATGATGTACAACAAGAGTTTTTCATGTGCATATACATAGTGATATTATTACTACAAGTAAATAATTAAACACGTCTATTACCTTCATAGCTACCTGTTATGTGACCATATCATACTCTCTATAGACAATGCAAATATTTGTTATTTAACATAGAGTCATTAATCATTGTGTGCTGTTAGCAAGTTAACGTGTCTGGAATTTATTCCTTCTGGTGGGTTCTTGGTCTCACTGACTTCAAGAATGAAGCCGCGGACTCTTGCAGTGAGTGTTACAGCTCTTAAAGATGGTGTGTGCAGAGTCTGTTCCTTCAGATGTTCAGATGTGTCCAGAGTTTCTTCCTTCTGGTGGGTTCGTGGTCTCGCTGACTTCAGGAGTGAAGCCGCAGACCTTTGGAGTGAATGTTACAGCTCTTAAAGGTAGTGAGGACCCAAAGAGTGAGCAGCAGCAAGATTTATTGTGAAGAGGGAAAGAACAAATCTTCCAGGGCGTCAAAGGGGACCTGGGTTGCCACTGCTGGTGCAGGTGGCCAGCTTTTATTCCCTGATTTAGCCCCGCCCACATCCTGCTGATTGGTCCATTTTACAGAGTGCTGAATGGTCCATTTTACAGAGTGCTGATTGGTCCATTTTACAGAGTGCTGATTGGTGCGTTTACAATCCTTTAGCTAGACACAGAGTGCTGATTGGTGCATTTACAATCCTTTAGCTAGACACAAAAGTTCTCCAAGTCCCCAGCCGACCCAGAAGCTCAGCTGTCTTCGCCTCTCATTACTTTGGGATTAATTATGATTATTTGTCACAGAAACTCACCCAGCAAACTTGACTTTGGATAGAAAGATACACGGCATTTTTGGTGACTCTTTGCTCTGTAGTTTAGCCTCCAGGGAGCAAAGGCTGGTGAGTGCCTTGTCTGAGGTGGCTCTGCTTATTCCTTCAGCAGACCAAAGAGTACAGGGAACACATGCCTAGAAAGTGTAGGCAGAAATTAATAAGCACTTGGAATTTATTTTGTTTGTTCTTTCTCCCATCGCCCCCCACCAACCCCTGGTTCTTTTTCTGTCTCCATGTAAACCACAGCTTTCACTAAAATCCTGGTTTTGTAGTTTGAAGAGAGAGAAAGAGCATGGAAACGTTTATTGTCACAGAGATCCACAACATTGACTTTTTCTGATTAGACAGCAGTAAAATGTAGAGATGTTGACATGACGAAAAGAGAATCTGATAATACCTGCAAACCGGATTAACTGTTATTTAGACATTTACATGGTGCACACTATTTTAACGTCACTCACATAATAAAATTATTCAGACGAAAATGTGAAGAATTAGTGACTCAGGATTTTTTCACTTCCTCCAAAAATGCCCCTAAAAGGAGGGAAAAGTGCATAAATTTTATTTTTCTTTTGGATCCAAATGTGTAAGAACAGAGGGATTAGAAGAAGATATGGAGAGAGATACATTTTGGAAGCTAAATCATATGTCAAAATTGAGGCAATCCAAGAAGAAATTTAATTTAGCCCATTCCACCTGCAAAGGCTCAGAAAAAAATGGCACCAGGTACCTCTGGGATTGAGGAAGCAGGGCTGACTCCCATAGGGGAGGTTTAGAAGGCATAACCCCTTCCTAGATGAGACGGTCACTTATTCTCTGCCTAATAACCTAGTTTAACAGGGACCCTTTCAGCCTCACATCCCCTAACTCCTGGGCCTGCCCTCCCCTCTGCCCTCCAACAAACTTTGGTCCCAAGAATGCATTTGGGTTTATTCCCAGCCAGGCCTTATCCTAAAGAATACACTCACAGAGAATGCCAGGTTTTATGTTCATTTTAAGTGACAAACGTAAGAGTCAAGTTATTATCTCTAACATTCCCAGTCCCCGATCATCAAACACCACTCCCATGAAGCCTGTCAGAGACTACGGCCAGGACCTCGTAACATGCCATTCAAATGAACAAGGACGGCCACCGCATGTTGATCCCCATGTTGCTCACAGGAGGCTAGGACCGTGAGCCCGAAGCCCCGCAGCACCAGACTCAAATCCTCCCATATCCAATTGCTTTAAGTATAGTCCAAGTGGGCATCCGTTTAGCCGTTTAGAGAAGTCCTGCCCTGCATATCCCACAAAAGTGCACTCAGTAACTGCCAACAGTAGATCAAAGAAACTCTGGCACTGTAAAAGACCCTAAGTCACTGCCCTCCTTCAGCCTCTCCGACACAGAGGCTCCCCGTCCTGTGGCTGAGCAACATCTTTCAGACTCATCAGCCCCCTCACTAGTCCCCTCTCCCCAAGGAGTTTCCTTGTCTTCTTCTTCTCCTCCTGGGTGGTGGCATCCCAGGCAACTGTTCCTGTAAGATGTCGTGATGGAAGGCCTTGTCCCACATGCAATCTGTCACAGCACCTTTCACGCAAAGCCCATTATGAGATACTGTGTCTTGTGGCCTTGTCTTTTCCATGTCAGTCCTTACATCTTCAAACACACTACACCTGTTTTCTTTCTCTACTAAGGACACCCCTCCAGAATCAGCTTGCTAAGCGAGGAGAGATGGTAAGCCAATGCTTACTTCATTGCTGCAGCAGTGAGATGGCTGCATATCCCCTGGGCCAAGGAGATCTTCAAAGCCAAATGTTTATTTACGGGACACTTCCGTCGACTCTCAGGGCTTTCTTTCTAGACCTCTCACTCAAATTCTTTTGAATCAGGCAAGGCCTTCCGTCTGCTGACTTTATCTAAACCCCCTTAGCTCTGTTTCCAGAAAAGTAGTGAGCCCCTCTTGCCCAGGCATTCTACCCCTTCGGCAGGATTTCATTCAAAAATGTCCCCAGGCCAGTATTCCTACCCCTAAGGTGGAATCTATGATGGGTCCCAGGAGTAGCACAACTTTAGCTTACAACAGAGGGGCGCGTTCTCTCCCCTTCTCTCCCAGGTACAGCCCCCTGCTCAGCCACCACAGGCTGCGTTAGCTTTCTCAGTGTGAGTCGGGACCTGTCCTCCGTGCCTGCCTCATTGCAAGAGACACGTGTACAGCTCCTGGCACAGGTACAATTCCTGGCACAGCTCCTCTCACCAACTGGGGCTTTGGGGCTGGATACCCTACACTTTCGGCTTGGGGTGGGGTGAAACTTGGAGGCCAGCTCTATCTAAATGAATGCTCCTTCCCAGTCCTCCATTGCCCCATCAAGACTTACTACTTACCTTCAACAAGACTGAGTCATCTCTCTGGTTACCAGAAATTGCCTTTGAAATGTGCATGTGGCCTGTCTCTCAGGCCAGTTGAGGAATCCGTCATCTATCACTTCTTGGTACCTTAGTCTAAGCTCCGAAAGTGTCATTCATTTGCTCCTATTTAATGGAAAAATTCTGTTGACGAATCTGCCTCTCCCAGAAGATTGGGAAACTTTGAAGCCAGAAGCAATGCTGCGTTAATGGCTGTGTTGCTAGGTTCCAACACAAGGACTATTGCAAGGTAAGCTCTCAGTATTTGCGTGTTTATTTGATGCATAAGGGCTTTCCAATTGAGGAAATAATTAAGGCATGATGACAAAAGGCCTGAAATAGAAGTGTTGGAAAGTTTACCATATACAGTTGTACAGGTCGTGCACTACTCAAATAAGAAAGTCCCATTTACATACACGATGATATGAAGATGCTTCGCTTCTTAGTGTTGACCAGGGCACAGCAGGAACAGCTCTCCATGGCAGCCCTGCCTGGGTCAGGTGATGCCGTTAAAGTTATCTTCCTCTCGTAATTTCTTTCCCTTCTTGGTTAATGCAAGTGAAGCTTTACCACTACACAGATGCCTCAAATATGAGAATGCAAATCACAAAATTGAATCCTAAAATTTGTTGATGGTTTTGTAGCCTGGACTCTAGACAACAAAATCAATTTCAAAACTATCACAAGTAATAAGATATTAGTATTTCATATGAAGATATAAAATTAAGAGCACAAACCTAAATTAATAATGCTGGATCTCAAAAGAATTGATGAAAAAGCCATGTACAAGCATTCCATGATAGAGAAAATTATTCTCGGTAGAGCAATCGGACACGGCAAAACACTTAAGAATCTTTATGCTAAAAATCATGAGGTATAAAGATAGGCAAAGTAGTGGAAACCTCCCCTGCCTTATGGCTAGAAATTGCAGAGAAATCATTAAAAGGGATATTTCTACAAACAGTTTGGTCTGATGTTTTCTGCAATGGATTTAAATTCTAAGTCGAATTGTTTGCTTCAAAGGAGGTGTCTATACGAAGGTGGGCTTTTTGGGGGGTTCTTTTTGTTTGCTTTTTTCTTTTTTTTTCACTTGTATAAATTTATGGGCTCCAAGTGTAATTTTGTTCCATGGATACATTGTGTAGTGGTGAAATATGGGCTTTTAGTGTATCCATCACCCAAATAAGGTCCTGTGTTCCATTAAGTAAGTTTTTATCCAATCCTTCCCACTCCTCATCCTTCTGGCTCTCTATTGTCTATCATTCCACACTCTATATCTACATGAAAACATTATTTAGCTCCTAATTATAAGAGCATACAGTATTTGTCTCATTGTTTATGAGTTTTTTCACTTAAAGTAATGGCCTCCAGTTCCATCTGTATTGCTGCAGAAGACATGACTCCTTTTTGTGGCTGAATAGTATTCCATTGTGTATATACATCATATTTTCTTCATCCAGTCCTCCATTGATAGCCACTTAGGTTGATTTCATATCTGTTGTTATGAATAGGTGTCTTTTTGATATAATGATATCTTTTCCTTTGGGTGGACGCCCAGTACTGGGATTACAGGATCAAATGGTAGTTTTATTTTTAGTTCTTCAAAAAATCTCCACACTGTTTTCTATAGTAGTTGTACTAATTTACATTCCCACCAGCAGTGTATGAGCATTCCCTTTTCTCTGTATCCTTGTCAACATCAGCTATTTTTTATCTTTTAATAGTAGTTATTCTGACTGGTGTAAGATGATACCTCATTGTGGTTTTAATTTCATTTTTTGGATGGTTAGTGAGACCCTGGCCAGGGCTTGGGGATCCAGAATTTTGTTTTTGTGTTTTTCGTTTAAGTGTATCCATCAGTCTGTGATGGTGTTGCTGAAAGCATATTGGGATGCTGCTCTGGGCTGGGCACAGCTGGTGTGATCAAGAAGCAGCATGGACATAAGTGCACTTAAAAACCTCCAAAAGTTCCTCAGAAACAATGAGGGGCAAGCACTGAGCACAGCAGAAGCAACACATGCACACACACACATAAACATACATAAACATGCAGACAGAGACATGCAAACTTCAACATACATGAACATGCAGACACAGACATGCAAACTTCAACATGCATGCACATGCAGACACAGACATGCAAACTTCAACATACATGACCATGCAGACACAGACATGCAAACTTCAGTGAGACCGTAATGTCTCTTACCAGAGAAATGCCAACTCATCAGTTGCACTCATGAGCCATTAGACCTAAAGTAAAATCATTGCTATTTTGAAGAATAGAAGTAGACTGTTGAAGTTCCCACAAATGACTGGGGAATAAAAGGAAGAATGAAAAAAACATAACTCCAAAGAAGGAAGAAGGAAGGAAAATAAGAGAAGAAAAATAAGCAATGCGACAAAACTAACACAAACCCCAGAAATTTCTATTATCTGAAACAGAAATTTCTATCATGCTCCCCTAAGGTAGGAAACTTTCCTTTCAGCAAAAAAACCTGAACAGGAAATTTGGAGAGAACCTGGGAGTGCTGATGTTAGCAGAGGGATAAACAACCAAACACACTGCTTAGCTGTGCTTCTTGAGTAAATGAAGTGAATGGTTTTCACATGCTCCTGAGAAAAGCTGGTAGATGAGAAGGCTGAGCAGAGCAGGGCAGTGGAGGAGCAGGCTGCAGCCAACACACATGGCCCCTTTCTGTGCATCTGGGAGACACCTTATTGTCCTAAAGGACAGCATCAGGCCAAGACACCCAGCTCGGACTGCACAGGGCAGCCAAGATGCCAGACCCACTGTCCCAATCCACCCACATTTGTGCAGTGTACAGCTGCTGCTAGAGGCCTGCAGCTTGGTGTAGAGAGTGGAATATTAACAGACAGTGGAGGTCAGGGGCCTGAGGAAGCCTCCTTATAACTGAACAGCAGAAAAACTACTTAAATAGCTTCAAGGACAGGCCTGCCTCATGCAACTGTTGAGCTGGCTCGGGTTGCAATCCTCTTTTCTCTTCCAAACACCTCCCATCTCCAGTGGGATCTGCTGTACTCACATATTCTTTCTGTGATCATTCATTTGGGAAAATTAAGGGAAAGGCTGAGCTTCATGCTTTGATTTATGCGGTCCAAACCAGAGACAGGAAACTTCAGAGCAAGACCCCAGGAGCAGCAGCAACCACTAGAACATAAGCCTCGGGAATTTGCAGACAATTTAGGATGGTTTAAGATTTCTACCAAGATAATGTTTCAAATCAGCTTTTTCCAGATTCCAGGTTGCAGGAGAACTGGCCTGACACCTGGTTTCATGTGTGAGAAGCAGGCACAAAAATGCTAGAATGAATGAGCTGACCACACCAAAACGTGAGACAAGAAAGATAATATTTTCTTCAATATAAATTTACACACCTGGAGATACTGAGAATGATAAAATATAAAATTATATTTAGACTTGTGTTTAATTTAAAACCTTTATAAAATAATAAAATTCCACAAAAAGGGGACACTTCTGAAAAATACAAATGTACCTAGACTCAGGTATGATTTCATAAAGTGGGGACACGTGGATTACTTTAATTCCTCCCTTGCATTTATGTGGCTGTGAAATTTTATAATCTGGGATTATGTAAAATAATATAGATAGGAAAATAAGAAAGATTATTGGTTTTCAATAAAAGGCTAATTGGGACTGTTAAACTGAGATTAGTTTGGGAACATTGAAAAAACATGATAAGCTTTAAATATTAATAAGGTCTAATTTTCCTCCATTGTGTGTGTGTGTGTCTGTGTGTGTGTGGGCACACACACACAGACACACACACACATACAGAGAGAGAGAGAAGCATTTGAAAAACATGAACATTAAGATTTGAACAGAGCCTTAACACCTAAAGGTATGAATATATAGTCAGACAAAAAGCAATTAATGGGCAGCTCAGCTGGCTAACATGAGAGTAATGAATCATGATAAGCTATTGGACTGACATGTTCATGATTAATCTGAACTTAAAGGCCACTGTGCCCTGACTCAGGAACACACACATACAACACACATATGCATACATAGACACACATATGCATTATTCAAAGACAGACATGCATACACATGGACATTCAAGGAAAGCTGTATCTCCCAGACAATCACCATAAGCAAATCCATCACACATGACCAGGGGACCTGTTTAAATGATGCCTCAGTCATGTCATATCTTTACTCCCTGTGCAACAAAAAATAAAATACAAGCCCCACAGCCTGGAAACCAGAAGGACCCTTCATAATATGTTCCCAACAAGCCTTCCCAGCCATATCTCTTATCTCTTGATTCTCCCAGACCAGTATCAAATGCTCCATCCAAACCACACTCCTCAACATTCAACAAACAAGCTGGGTTCTTTCCTCAACTCCAGGCTTTTCCCAACCTACCACCTCTTCCTACAATCGAGCATCACTAGTGCTTAATAAATATTTGTTGAAATTATTTGAATTAATAAAAATAAATTCTCCTTTGGCTGTGCTTTTGTAAATGCATTATGTTGGTTTAAAACAAAGCCTGAAAGAAAAAAAAATGCCAAAGAGGTAAAAACAGCAGATTTACCTGGACATGTTCTTTTTTTTTTTTTTCTTTTCTTTTCTTTTCTTTTTTTTTTTTTTTTGAGACAGAGTCTTGCTCTGTCACCAGGCTGGAGTGCAGTGGCACAATCTCGGCTCGCTGCAACCTCTGCCTCCCAGATTCAAGTAATTCTCCTGCCTCAGCCTCCCGAATAGCTGGGACTATAGGCACCTGCCACCACGCCCAACTAATTTTTGTATTTTTAGTACAGACAGGATTTCACCATGTTGGTCAAGATGGTCTCGATCTCTTGACCTCGTGATCTGCCCGCCTCAACCTCCCAATGTGCTGGGATTACAGGCATAAGCCACCACACCTGGCCACGTTCTTTTTTCTCTCTTCCCTGAATTGCTGTGGCGGAAGCTATCCCTATAGCTTCCTCATAAGCACAGCCCTCCTTCCTGTAGTGAGGCTCTAAATGCCAGATACTCATTCTTCCAGCCACTTCTATAGTTAAAAATGGGCATATGACACAGTCGTAGCCAAGGAAATCTAAGCAGACACCTGCAAGTATGATTCTGAAACATTTTTCCCCCAGATAAAAAGAGGCACCCTAAAAGAACATTCCTCCTTATCCTCCTCCTTCCTGTTTTGGACCTGGTTGGGTGAGAAAGCATTGCCTGGAGCTGCAGCAGCCTTCTTGAGACCATGAGAAGACTAATCTAATCTTTAGATTAGTCTAAATTAGATTAGTCTAATTTAATCTTTAGATTAGACTGACAGAAGCAAAGTTGGATGAAAAGATGCAAAGACCATGTATTTATTCAGTGGCATCATTGACTCACTGAACAACTCCTGGAGATTCCCTACCTCTACATTTCTTTTGTAATACTAAATGTCTTGGTTGTAAAAGAATCACTGAGCTGCTGTTCCATGCAACTCATTGCAAACTCACCTGGAGAAAGGTCCTTCTCACAGTCTTCATCCCACATATACTTGTTCACTCTGAGTCACATCTCAACCCTGGAGATGTGTCCATGGAGATGCATCTCAACCTGGCCTCCTCTAGGAGGCCTCTGTGACACTCTCTGCCAAAGTTACTTTTGGGTACAAAATTCTCTGTACCCAATCCTAAAGGAAATTCATGCCTTCATTATAACATCTATAATGTTGCTAGTACAATTCATTTGATATAGTGATGTTTTGAATACCTAATATCCATTCCTCCTCCTTTAAATCATGGCTTCCCGAGTATGTTTAGGGAAAGAGCCCTCGCTCCAGTTGGTGTTTCAGATGAGATGCCACTGAGGATTTAGGGCAAACTGTGTGACTCAAGAATAGGAAATGAGAGCACAGAATCTCCTTGGGGGTTCTCAGCAGCCCCCATCATTACTTCATGGATAAACACATGACTATAGAAATCCCATAGAGGGTGGCATTGGTGGCTTGGGACTAATGAGCCCTCTGACATACAAACCTGAAAGTATTTCCAGTTTCTTGCAGTGAACACAGCATATCTATCTCAGGAGAGAGCAAGTTGGAAGGTATTTGTTGAGCAGCTATTTGACTTTTCCATTCCATTTAGAATCAGGAATAACAACTTTCTGACTGTGCCAGATGAGGTCCTGCTAGTTCTTACAAAGTCCTGAATGGGGGAGGCTTGCCAAGTGTCTCATTTCACCAACCACTTACCATAAAACTCAAATGTTATCAGTTACACATTGGGGAAAGCTGACCTTGGCTGTCCACTTGTCAGAATCCAACTCTGAAGTTCAGTTTCAGTTTTTTACTACCTTCCCGTACCCTCTTGCTAAATGGCTCATGGGTTATATATAATTATGAATTAATATCACATCATCGCAGATGATCTGCAAGTAATGATAATACTCAGACTACGGACAGACACTATCAACTAAAGACCCAAGAAAGACTGAGCCTGACAGTGCTGATCCATGATGCAATGAAAGTGAACCCAGAATTTGATGGATGCTTCTGAAAAGAAGCTTTTTGTTTGACCGGATGTAGACCTAGAAAGAGATCAGCCTGGATTTGCAGAAGCTCATGTTGCCTCTGTAAAAGAAACCCCTGAATGATGACGGAACTGACACAGCAGAGGGAAACCTGGGACACAGAGCAAGAGCAACACCGTCTGATGAGCCCCTGGATACAGCTATGCCTGCAGATCAAACTTCAACAGATGCGTCAGTGCATGAGCTAAAAGCGTTTCATTTTGTTTAAGCTAGATGCAATTGCTTTTTTATGTGTTTTGGTCTTTGTCACTTGCTAAAGAAAGATAGTTACTTGATTAATTTCATGAATTCAGGACCATATAGGTATTTATCTTAATCTCTGAAACATGAGGAGTTATTGGAATAAAATTGCTAAAGAAAGAAAGGAAAGAAAGATGGAAGGGAAGAAAGGAAAAAAGAAAGGAAGGGGTATCAGGAGTGATATTTAGGTTTTAATTGAACTTCAACCTAAGTAACACAAAGGATATAAGCTAACAGTGACAATCACCTTAGAAACATATTCTGCCCCAAGAGATCCTACTTGTAAAATAAAATGCACTGTCTGTGAGCCAGATCACACTGTCCCATTGGTACTTTGCAACTATATCTCCTCCTTTAAAAATCTCATTATTTCAGAAAGTATTTTAGTTGGATTGTGAATTATTTGGATCAGTGGGCTTTGAAAAGCAAGATTGTTCTAAACTGATACACCAAAAAAAAACCTGTTTCTAAAGACAATTAAAAATGGATTGCATTTTATGCACCAAGAGACTGTTGGTGGAGGTTTCATATGGGATCCAGGTGGAAGATATTTATAATTCCAGCATGTCGACCCACTCTTTAGTCACCGATCCCCAAATTTTGGTTCTTTATGAACACACAGAGCAAAATTACATAAAGGAATCTGGGTCCTTATCAAAGCAAAACTTCTTTCAGAAAATTGAAAATATATATATTTAGTCATCTCGGGCTTTTGAAGGAGAAAATGTGAAGGAATACGGGAATGGAAAAGAGGAGAATAGAGGCCAATTTCACAAACTCTAGAGATGCTTTGACCTCTTTGATAAGTTGAGGAAAAAAAGGGACCTGCGATCATTTTTCAGAGGGCTAGTTTCAGAAACACGGAATGGATAGTTACTCCTTGACATATTGGGGCAGAGGTTCCAAGCTCAAAGAGCAGGCAGGTAACAGAAATGATGAGGCTGGCCAGGGGAAGGGATAACCTGGCGACCTCTGACTCACCTTAAGTCAGTACCTACACTTGGCTCCACTCAACACTTTCCAGGTGGGCACCTGGGCCCCATTGTACCCGTGCTTTCAGAAGTGTGTCAGTTTTCCATTCCTGCCTGAGAAATTACCATATATGTCATTGGTTAAAATGCTCATTTCATTATCTCACAGTTTCACCAGGTCAACAGCTTTGCCAGGCTGGGTTCTCCCTCTAGGGTCTTGCAAGGCAGAAATCAAGGTATTGGCAAGGTGGCATTCCTCACTGAAGGCCTTGGGGAAGAATCTTCTTCCCAGCTTATTCAGGATGTTGGCAAAATTAATGTCCTTCTCATGTTTTCCACGTGACCTCTGCGTCTTCAAGCCAGCAAGGACACATTTAATCCTTCTCATGCTTCAAATCTCTCTGATTTCCTCATCCTCTCTCAGCCAAGAGAAAGCTCTGCTTTTAAGGGCTTTTGTGATGACATTGAGCCCACCTGGATAAGCCAGAGTTATCTCCCTATTCCATGGTCACCTAATTAGTAATCTTAATTATATCTGCAAAGTCATTCTTGCCATATAAGGTGACATCTTCAAAGGTGAGATGTGGAGGGAAAAGGTCAGAGAGAATAAAATTCTGCCAACCATAAGAAGATACTGGACATTTACACTTCATGTAAAATTTCTGAATTTTTAATTATTGGCTAATAATTCAAAAAAATTTTTTTTACCAGTTTTTTATCTAGAGGGTCTACTTGTTGCATCTAGACATACTTCGCAGTACAACCTCTGCTTCAAAATACATTGACACCAGTTGAATCCTAAATAAAAATGCCAATTTGGGTACTGAAATCACATGTCAGTGCTTGGGCTTAGGGGTTGGTATTATCTCAGGAGCATAACACAGTAAAGATCTCAGCATTTCACTGTCCAGGGCAGCACAGTGGGGGCTGCAGCTGCTGCTCCATAGAGTCATTCAGGGCCCCAGGCTCTTTTTTTTATATATACATATATATGTGTATATGTATATATACAAGTGGAGCATCCGCCCCTCTTGTTATCTTTACTTTAACCTCTGCTCCTAGACCAGGGTCTGGGAATGGTAGGCATTCAATAATCAATTAATTATCTTAGCTGATGAATAATCAGTGATTAATGAATATGCCTCATAAATTCTCTTATATTTATTGTCAAACTCTGCTTTTTTCCTTAAAGTTGCCAACCAGTCTGATTTTTCAAGAGAAGCCAAGTATCAAAGTTTTTAAAAATAAAATCCCACAATGTTAAAATAGAAGTGGCAAAATAAATTTTTATATTTACATGTGTGCAATTTCTTTATATTTGCAATTCCTTGGGATTTCTTGTTTGTGATTTGATGCTTTTTTGTTTTATTCCAAAGCAATGTGGCTATAATATTTAATATAATTCTCATTGCAGGAAACAAGAGTCATTCATTCACAAGATTCACTTAATATCTGTAGGAAGGGAGTTATTAGTGAACATCAAAGAGAATTGTCAGAAGTGAGGAAGGGGTTCTAATCTGAGCTTTTAAGGACAATTCTGAAAAGGATTCTGTGTCATCCAGGGAAGAGACTCTCATAGGCTCTGCCATACCTGAGAAGCTTCCCCAGCTAGTCTCAGAAGGGTTGCCATGTTTCTACCACTCACATCAAAAAAAAAAAAAAAATGAGCAAGGAGATGATGGCCATCAATTTTCTCATGTATTCAGCTTCCATATTAAAAACTCTCACACTTGCCACTCAAAATTATATGCTAATCTGTGAAGAAAAAGTAGACACAGCAGGCCCAAGACTGCTATTGAAACTGCCATTGCAAAATTATAACTGAAACAGTGAAAGAAATCAGACCTGACCAAGTCCATCTTACTTCTAGCCTCCAAGCTGTCCTTGTTCATTCCTAAGCATAGGCTGAACTAACTCTGGGAGGAACTTTGTTTATAGTTTATAGTATAAACCGAAGACAATAACGGCCCTTTCCCAAAACAAACCCCCTTCTTACCTGGGGACTAGACTGCCTTTTTAGGACTCACACATTAGCCAAAAGATGAGAAGTTACGGTTTAGGAGTCATGCAGCTAGAGGCCACAAGATTCTGACCCTACCCGAATTGCTCCTGGGGATAACATCACTATTGTGAAACCTAAGACCAGTGCTTGAGGTATTTTGCAGACCCTATACGTGATGGATCAGCTGGCACCACTCAAGTCAATAAACTGGCTCATCTGATATTGTGGCTCCCACCCAGGAACTGACTCAGCACAAGAGGACAGCTTCAACTCCGTATGATTTCATCTCTGACCAAACCAATTGGCATTCTTGACTCACTGACTTCCTCTCGCCCACGAAGTTATCCTTAAAAACTCTGATCCACGAATGCTCAGGGAGACTGATTTGAGTAATAATAAAGCTCCAGCCTCCCACATAGCCAGGTCTGTGTGAATTACCCTTTCTCTACTGGAATTCCCCTGTTTTGATAAATCAGCTCTGTCTAGGTAGCGGGCAAAGTGGACCCTTTGGGCAGTTACACTATCCTTAGAGATGGCGGCTCGAGATGCTTCTCCATTGGCTGGCATCTGGTAACCTGGATTTTGGGTAGGTACTCACATTCTCAAAACTGATACAAGGGGCTTACCTTGCCTAAACAACATGGTCCTCGTGATAGAGACACTAGACAGGGAAATTCTGGGCAGAAAAGGGCAGGTCTCTGGCAAGGGCCCCACTCTCAAGCCTGGAACTGTGGGCCAAAATGAGAAGATGCATTCCTATTTTTAGTGAAGTAAGTGAAGTGAGTAAGTGAAGTTTGCCTCTGCCGTCACCGAAGTGGCCAACTAGCTCCAGCGCCCACACTCCAGTTCCTGTCCATGAAGGGGACAGGGAAAATGTTCTGCTTCACTTGCTGAATTCCTGCTTTCCTTCCAGGAGTCTGGAATTTTGCTGCGCGCCGGGCAGAGGGTTCCTATGTAACTGGCTTCCATGTGCTTGAATGTTGCCTTTTCCAAAACCACCCATGGCCTGCCCCACCCCATATCCTGTGCCATAAAAACCCCAGGTTCCACCTGCAGAGAGTGGAGGAGAAGAGGATAAGCAGCTGGACGTTGGAGACTACAATTTGATGATGGAGAGAAGCAGCTTGACTTCAGAGGGATTGCCTGACGGCATTGCTTCTGAACGGAGTCTGGGGGAGGAACACCTTCCCACTCCATCCCCTTTCCAGCTCTCCTTCCTGAGAGCCACTTTCATCAACAATAAATCCTCCCCATTCACCACCCTTCAGTTCATTCATGCGACCTGATTTTTCCTGGACACTGAATAAGAGCTTGGCTGCCACGGATGTGAATGCTAAAGGCTGTCACAGTGACTCTCTGGCCTTGCTGGTGGAGAGCAACCACTTCATGTGAAAAGGCAGAGGGCCCACTGAACTGTTTAACACTTAAGCCATCCATGGACAGCAAGGCCAAAAGAGAGCACTGTAACACACGCCCTCCAGGGCTTCGAGGGTGGTGGGTATCCCCCTAGATACTGCCGCAGGCCCTGCATGGAGTTTTGTTCCTGCTGGTGCCCAAAGGCACTCACCCCACCTCCTGCGCCCACTCACCTGCATGCTGCCTCTCATAAGGGGTTGAAGCAATGGGTTTGAGTAAGTGAAGTTTGTCCCTGCTGTCACCGAAGTGACCAGCTAGCTCCAGCACCCACACTCCAGTTCCCGTCCATGAAGGAGTCAGGAAAAATGTCTGCTTCACTTGCTGAATTGCTGCTTTCCTTCTAGGAGTCTGGAATTTTGCTGCATGCCGGGCAGAGGGGTCCTATGTAACTGGCTTCCAATACAAGCCCTGGGCATTGAATTTCCAATGGAACTAGCGTAGATAATATTTCAAGTGTGTAGTCATGATTTGAGGCTGGGGGAACGAAGAGTGTCTTGAGTGTCTTGTAGTCACAATTTGAGGCTGGAGGAATTAAAAGTGTTTACTACAAAGAGAGAAGACTCTTCAAAATTTTAGCCTGGTTTTCTCTGGACTTCACCACATGGGCCGTTTCCTCTTGCTGATTTTGCTTGTATCCATAATAAATCATAGCTGGAGGTAAAACTTATATGCTGAGTCCTGTGATGCCTCCTAGAAAATCACCAAACCTAAGAGTAGACCTCCAATGCAATATCCTTATTGCGGGAAGCCTGGGAGATGTAGGTTATTTGTTTGTTTTTCTATTCCGTATTGCAGAGTTGGGTTTAAATATGGAGTACTATCAATACATATAGTGAATGTGTGGCTCACATTGATATAGGTCATAAAATCTGATTCCCTTTTGTTCCGGGTATTCATTTAGACTGCATTTTCCATCCTCCAATGTAGTACGGTGGGCCTTGTGACTGGGGTCTGATGAATGAAGTTGGGGTGAGGAGTCATGCCTATTACTCCCAGGTTTGGACCATAATATCCTCCCATGTGATCAATCTGTGCTCCAGCTGTGCTCTTACCCATGCACTGGCCAGATGTGTAAGTTCTAGCTGAGGTCTGCCAGGATACAGGATGGTGGAGCCATGTGATGGAAGGAGCTTGGGCCTCTGAGTGACTATGCAGAGCAGAGTGATGGTTGCATCTCCCTTTCTAACCCACAGCAAATTAGATGCTATCTTAACCTTTTGGATTAAGCCCCTGGGATCTGAGGATTTGTCTATTCCTGTATTTCACGTTTTCCTAACTAATTCAGAAAAGTCCTGGGTAATAGATAGATACTCCCTAAGTGAACAATACAAACTCCATTTCATTAAAACTTCATTCCCTGAAGAAACAGGAAAACTCCATAAGCCTTAAAAAAACAATTTCCATCACTTCTAAATTCAGTCTATTATACTTCAAAACAATGTACAGTGTGCGGTCTTTATAATGACACTGTGACATTTGTGGTGATGTTAATATTTCTGAATTGGGATTCACTAAAAAACAAACAAACAAAAAAATAGGTTCCAGAATGTAATTGGTTAAATAGTAAACAATGTTTCTAACCAAATTTTCTTCAAAAGCATTGTAAAAATCTATAAAGTACACCAAACTTCATTTATTACTTGCTTTATTACATATTGAAATGTTTGCATATTTAAAACCTTACATGTCAGATTAAATAGTTTATTCTTTGTGGATCATTTGTTTTATTGTGTGTTAAGGTAAGAAAAGGCAAAAAAATCTGACATTCAATCTAAAATGCTACTTGATACAAATATGTAAGAGTCTCAAATACAATGCTTCAAGGAATATAACCTGTAGATCTGTGTTTCTCTCCTCTACAGCTGCCAAAGAAGGCTGTTGTAATATAATCATAATTGGCTCTTTCCTGTGAATGAAATTTCTAATTGAATTATGCTTCCAGTTCTTATCCAGATCTCTTATCACCTTTCAGAAACCAAAAGAAGTATCTTGAAAGATTGATAAATTCTTAAAAGAGCACCTATTAATTAAAACTGATGTCTTCAAGAATGGGATCATTTGCCTTCTGGAAAATCACAAATCATATTAGCTCTAACCTGCTTAGATTCTTTGTGGGAGTAGGTAGAGGGTGTAGGGAGAAGAGGCGCATTAGGAATTTATTTTAATTCATATCCAGCCTTAGCACCGTCTAGCGGTTAAGATTTCAGCCTCTAGATTTGTAGGACTTAAATATAAAGCCTGACCTCTTACCTGCTCTGTGATCTTAGAGATTTAATTCACCTGTCTAAGACCCAGGTTTATCATCTGTAATATGCTTACCTTCAGAGGGCTATTGGATAGTTTCAGCAAAAGAAAATATCTAAGGTTCTAGGCAAAGTACTTAACCTATATTAAAGGTTCAATATTGTCCTTTGCATTACTTCAAAAAAGACTGAATCTATATTTGAGTCTAAAAGCAAAATTTAAAAGCAAGCAGCTTCTGTATCATTTGTCAGGAGAAACGGTCATGGAGCATTTTAACACGTTGTAAGATAAGTTGCTTGAATACATCCCTTCAACCTGGATGTGTTGAAAATTTACTGTGCTCCAAAGGTTGGGAGTAAATCCAAGCCATCTAATACTCTCCCTTTCTCTTCACAGAAGAGAAAGTTGCAGAGTTGGGGCAAGTGGGTGTCTCTGAGTGCCCCTTTATCTCCCCAGAGCATGCCTCCCTCCAAATATGGTGCCCAAACTGCTAATTATAGCTTGGGGACCATGTCACAGATGTGGTCACTTGATTCACTCTCCTCTTTTCCCCCCACCAGAATCCAGTGAAACCTGTCCTCGGCTAAATACTACAACAAACAAGGTCTAATGTGAGCGCTCATGTTTTAAGACTTGAATTAACTCCAAGAGAAGGGATAGCGCACTGTTGATGTAGGCATCTCAGCTCATGTGGGAGTTTCAACTTGGAATGAAGGGATCCTTGTGAAAGTGCACAAATTGGTGCTTCAGAGCCTACTGCATATTTTAGATGGGAAGGCAGGCCCCTAGACCACAGACCATTCTCCAAAGAAGGGTAAACTTGAATGAGGGTCCCAATCTCTTGACCTCATGATCCGCCTGCCTCGGCCTCCCAAAGTGCTGGGATTACAGGTGTGAGTCACCGGTCAACATGGTGAAACTCCATCTCTACTAAAAATACAAAAAAATTAGCTGGGCATGGTGGCACGCTCCTGTAATCCCAGCTACTCAGGAGGCTGAGGCAGGAGAATCGCTTGAACCCGGGAGGCAGAGGTTGCAGTGAGCCAAGATGGCACCACCGCACTCCAGCCTGGGCAACAGAGTGAGACTCCATCTAAAAAAAAAAAAACCAACCAACCAAACAAACAAAAAAAACCCACAAAATTTGAATAAGGGACCTTCTTTGAAACTTCGCACTTTTCTGGGAGGTGATGATGTAGTCTATATCTTATATCTATAAGGTTAACTTTGAGAGGATTGGAGGGTCAAGCTAGAGTTTTACTTCCTGTCTTGTGAACTCCTATGCATGCTTCAAGAACCATACAGTATTTCCCCTATTGGGAAGTTTTACTGCAGATGCTAAGCCTCCAAAGCTTGAATGAGAGGAAAAAAATATCAGTTGCTCCAGAGAACTGAGGAATAATAAAGGAAATGGCTCATAGCCAAATGGAAAGGCCATTGCTTCAGCAAGGCAAGCCCCTTAGAAGAAGCTGGCAGGGCTAGCCCAGATCAGCTTGAGGGCTTCACTTGGCAGCAGGTATGTGCTGGGCCCCAGCTGAGTGAGCAGTACTGCAGAGTCGACGCCCCTTGGGACAGCCCTCGGCCAGTGACAAACAGGAGCGGGAGGACGTGTGCCCTGCTTCCTCACCCCTCGGGCGACAGTTCAGAGTTGTGCCCTGCACCTTCTCATGGAAGGGCTCAGCGGGATTGGGTCCCAGTTGCTCACAGCAGTAAATGGCTCATAAATATACTTTACGTCATCGTGAATTTGTGTCCCAAATGGACTCTGGATGCTCAAGGTCTGGCTTCAGCATCTATTTCCAGGGGATCTCAGCCGAAGATGTTACTGTCTAAACGTTTAATAAAGTTCCCGAAATCATGAAATACTTGGGGTAAAGAAGTGTTTGTGTATGTGTCTGTGTGTCTGTGTGTGCATATGTGTGTTTGTTAATCTGTGTGTTTGTGTGTGTGCATGTGTGTGTATGTATGTGTGCATATGTGTGTATGTGTTTGTGTGTGTGTGTGCATGTGTGTTTGTGTGCGTATTTGTGTGTGTCTGTGTGTATGTATTGTGTGTATATGTGTGTCTGTGTGTGTTTGCATATTTGTGTGTATTTATGTGTGTCTGTGTGTATATGCGTGTGTGTATCTGTGTATGTGTGTGCATACGTGTGTTTGTGTAAGTGTGTTTGTGTGTCTGTGTGGGTATGTGTGTGCATATGTGTGTTTGTGTATGTGTCTGTGTGTATATGTCTGTGTGTTTCTGTGTGTATGTGTGTATATGTGTGTGTGTCTGTGTGTATGTGTGTATATGTGTGTTTGTGCATGTCTGTGTATGTGTGTGCATAAGTGTGTTTGCGGGTCTGTGTGAGTATGTGTGCATGTGTGTGTCTGTGTGTGTATGTGGGTGTATATGTGTGTGTGTCTGTGCGTGTATATGTGTGTTTGTGTGTCTGTGTATGTGTGGCATAAGTGTGTTTGTGTGTGGGTATGTGTGTTTGTGTGTCTGCATATGTGTGCTTGTGTGTAATGTAATGAAGGTGTTTAATTTCATTTCAGGATTAAACTGGACAGAACGGGGGCAGCCCTCACCACACAGCACCATGTAAACCTCTGGGAATTAACGGGAATTGATGAGAATCGTGGCCTGGGGGTACTTTCACCTTCTGCCAGGCTTGGTGTGGCCTCTTCACATAGGCTGCCATCAGAAGGGACCCCTGGCTAAAGGCTTCTTGGTGAGATTTAGAGACATTGGGAGTCTTGCTAGTAAAGACGGAGTAATTTTACGGTGAAAATAATGTCTCACACATCAGTTACGCCAGTCATCTAAATCTCTGTACTTTCACGGTAGAGCTCAATCCATAGACTCTTCCGGAAACTCTGAAATTAGGAACTACTGTAACATTCCTGCTACAAATATAGAACTGAAGTTTGAGGAAGTTAAAAAATCTACAGTAGGTCAGGCGTAGGGGCAGAGCTGGGGTCTTACCCATGCCTTAGAAGCCACTGCTCTCAGAAACGCCATCATGTTGAGTCTATTGATTGGGCCTCGTGAGGTTGGGCTGATGTCATTTTCTGACCACTTCATGCCGTCCAATCTGAGGATTTCTATCATCCCAGAGCTGAAAGCTTATTTTTCACTCTTGCATTTTCTGAAACAAACAAAAAATATATTAGCTGTAATATTTTCTCCCCACATTGTATGGAAGCATTCATCAGTCTTTTCCTCAACGATGCAGTTCGCTGCATTAGAAATGCTTAAGTTCAGACCTTGAATTACGCCCTGTGCGTGGTGACTTCTAGGGGTGTGGAAATACTACCAGGTGGCAGAGGACATAAGCCTGCAAAGTGTGTCCTGGCCCTCAGAGTCACGTCTTGCTAATCTCCAGCCCCAGAGCAGGGCTTCTCTGGCCCACTCCTGGCTCCAGGCTCTGGTTCCTCTAGGCAGATGCAGTCCCAGGCCAGAACCTAGGGTTTGGTGAGTGGAGCATCCTGGTTACCTATCACAGCAGAACTAAGCTGATGCTGTGGCTTGGATTAGCAACAGTCACTAAAAGGTTTTATGAAACCCTGCAATCCTGTTCAACATTCAATGAAACAAAAATGCAGTGCTTCTGGGCTGCGTTGTAAAGTGCTTTAACCTCAATGAAATCCCTAAAGCAGTGCTTTAAATAATAATTTAAATTGAATGATTGAGATTTGTAGCCCCGCTAGATTTTCAATTTCTTCACCAAAACTTACTCTATTTTTGAGACAGGATGTTCTTTCCTTTCTAATGGGGAAAACCCCAAATGCCACAACAATTTGAGCAACAAGTTGTGAAACAAAGCCCTGTTCTTCTTGTTAGCTCAGTTGTGCATCACAAGACAACATTTATGTGACTTTAATGGATTTACTGGAAGTTTAGCAGGAGACAAGAGAATGACTCTTCAATTATTGTGACAATGCATTTGTTGCCATTAGTATCTGCAAATCGACGTCATGTGTGACATCGATAAGACTGAACAGCACATCTTAGGAAGGGCTCAGTACTAGATGTGGCACCTGAATGGCAGCCAGTTCCTTCCTCACAATGACTCTGCCATTTGTAAAGGCTGGAAAAATACGTTATGGTTGGTATAGCCTATCCACAGCAGGCTATCTCACAGACCCACCTCACACTTACATCTACTCTGGTCATATTCGTGATGTGAACTTGAGAATTCAAAAGTGCATTATTCTGTTTGTCACCTAGATAAAGTCTACCTATATAGCAAGGAGGAAAAAGAAGGCATAGGAGGCAGAAAGTGCTCTCCATTGATTCTTAGGTACATCCACACCTTGGTTCTACCTTCCTTCTCTTTCTTGGAATAAGTCATTCCTTTTAGCTTGAACTACTTGGAGATATTTCCTGTCCCTTGTAAACAAATAACCTGAAACAAGAATATAGCAGATCCTGGACTAAGGTAATAGGTGAAAACCAGGTAAATCTAGTCAATGAAAATAAAGCCAGAGCAATGAGGATTTTGCCTTTGCATAATAAAACTTCCTCCCTAAAATTCATGAATATTTGTACAATAAAATATTTTCCCTTGGGTTGCAATGACTCGGTAGCCCACAACGTTTTGAAAAAAGGAAGGCACTTATAAAACTATCTTGTTTCATGCCCCACCCTCTTCAGCAAGTCAGCAATAGATAACATTCCTGACTTCGATGGATATTTGTTTTGCTGACATTTTTCCAGGGACTGTCTTTCATCTAGTAAGTTGATTGCTGGAGTATAAAGCTAACTAAATGTGTCTAGATGGTCCTTCCACTCAGAAAGCCACACGTGCGCCTCCTGCCTCCTGTCTCCTGCCAGTTGTTGTATAGAAAGGTGGTCTATGTGTGGCTCTTGGTTAGATGGGGTCAACGTGAGTGTTCAGTGGTGCCAGCACCAGTAGCCATGTCTTAGCCACATCATCCTGGTGAAGTTTATGGTTGTATTGCTAAACTACGCAGGCCCTCTTGGCTCCTGCTAATTCTCTGAGCCATAGTTTACTTTGCTTTTCTGTAAATTCCAAGAGTCGATTCCATTTTGTGCTTATTTTATCTTATGCCAGTTTCTGTTAGATCAAAAATCAAAGAAGCAAACAACAATGACAAACGAGACAACCTCTGGATGAGACATGGACAGGGAGCCTCATTTTTCCTAAATCTGCTTTCACTGACAGAGCGCTCATTAGCTCCCAGGGCAGTCTGGTCCAGTTTTGGAAAGCTTTTGTGATATTGTTATTTTAATCTTAATTTCTAGAAACCCACAAAATAAGTATTGTTTACTTTTCAAGTATTAGCTCCAAGTTTCCTGAATAGTTTGAAATTACATAAATTTGAGCATGTATCTCTGGAAGAAGAGAAAGGAGGGTTGGATAAATAAATAGGCAAAAATTCTACCACCATTCTACTCAACCAACACCCCTCAGTGAGCATGAAGTCAGTGAAGGCTCCTCCAATGCTCAGAGATTTTTTTATTTTATTTTATTTTTGCTACCACTTGGCCCTCAATGCCAGTACTCCTCTGCGTTTAGAGCTCGGCTACAGAAACGGTGATTCACCACAACACTGGATCGGAAGAGGGTTGGGCTGGGCTTTGTCGGAGATTACAGAGGTTTCCAAAGAAGTTTTTGATTACTTCCAATTTTTGCCTTCAATGCTGACAGGTTTTACCCTCGCCCCACTAGGATTCCTTGATTCTAATGAGGGTCCCCTCCCCAGCTCTCCCTCTCCATTTGTCCCAGGCACTTCATGATCAATATCCCTCACACTCGGGTGAGTGGATGCACCACGAGCAATCATTTCAGATGCTCAGGGTCAGCCATCGCTAATATCTCCCCTCAGAGCTACCCATTGCTTCCTCTAAACTAGCTTAATATTGTGTTTTTAAAAAATGGAATTACAGGTGATGATACTGTTGGGTTTTGGTGGATTATTTGTTGAGTGTGTGTTTGTGTGTGTGTGTGTCGTCAGCTGTGCTCACTGATAAGAAAAAAAGAGGCCACCTGGCCATTTGTTTGGCAAAACTCCTAAAAATCCTATTTAGAGCCAATCCTTGAGCTGAGTCCAGGAACATCAGGATACTCCTCCGATTACTGCTATTGACACCCACCATTTAATTGGCAGTGATGATGGGCACAGTCTATGCTAAGCACGCTTACTTTACCTCATTTATTCCCTAAGTCACATCCATGAGATAGTGCTATAACTGTTCCATGTCATAAATCAGAAGCTAGGCTTTGAGGGGTTGGATAACTATGCCTAAGTTACACAGCTGTAAGTTTTCAAGAGTCAAAAATTAACCCGCTTCTTCATAATCCTGGAGGCCTCTCTTAGCCAAGAGTTCAAACTCAAATGCACACAGGGGCCAGGTGGTGACAGGTGGGAATTAGAGGAGGAAGACAGTGTCAGAGGCCAGCCTGAGGTCTGAAGCCCCTTCTCAGCTCCTGCTAATGAATTCTATGGCCATGAGATCCCTGTGGCCAGATCGTCCTATTCTTCAAGAAAGTCCAGAAATTTAGGTTTTACTCTGGTACCTTTTAAAGTTTAAATGTTGGTACCACAATTTGCCACAGAAAAGAGAATGAAGACAAAAGAAAGGAAAATAAAATAAAATGAAGATAATAGAAAAGAAAATTATGTAAAGAAAATTCAGCATACTTAGAGTTGCATTTGGCCATCAGCTCCAATCTGCCAGGCCTGGGTTACAGCCCTTGCCTGAGGCCAGGGAGGGACCAGGTATCCTTTATTTGTCAAGGTGTCCACTGTACATTGCACAGAGCCTGCCACGTGGGAGGTGCTCATTAACACATGTGGAATGCATGAGTGCAAGAAAGATGGTGAATATGACAATGAGTAATTGCAGGGTAGAAATTCAAGCACGTTCATCAGCAGCTATCCTGGGAATTCCACGGCACATTCTGTTCTCTAAGCACAGCTATTCTAACTATAGATGGCCAAGATTGATCGTTCTCTCAAGGGCATGGCAGAATCGTTTGCATTGGGTCTTTTTACGTTAATTTAAATTTCTTTCACATTTTGCCTATTGTGCTAATGCGCATTTACAAAGAAAGCAATAAACAGATGTCTCTCAGCACCAAAGAGCTTTAATCTTTCACACAACTTTAATTTTATTTTCCTGTTTAATACTCTTCAGTAAATATTGTGAAATACAGACTTCAGTCCAAATAATCCAATTTTACTGGAAACTCTGAAGAGTTGATACTGAGGACACACCAGCTTGACCAAGCTAAACGAGTCACACAGCCACTATTTAAAATGTGTTCTGTGGCCATATGATTGTCCAAAAACACATCCAAAGAAAATGTATTCAAAAGAGACTTTTATTGAGTTCATCCAAGCATAAAAGAGCAGTAAGAGCAAGAAAGGCTCAGCATTGACCTTGGCATGACCTTGTGGCCACCATGTTGGTGTCTCAATGCCAGTGCTCAGGGAACATTGGGGATATCCCTGCTGCCCCTCTGGATGAGATAATACATTCAGGATCATTGGTCCATAGATGATGGGGTCCCCTGCTGAAATTCCTACAGGGGCCAGGAAGGAATATGAATGAGTAAGAATGCTGGGGAATTTTCTTCAGGATACATTTTTTGGAATATTGAGCACATAGCCATCTCTTTCGCTTTCATAACAATAAAGTCTGAGGTCTCCCACCTTTCTGGAAGCAACTGGTTCTCTTCATCTTGTTTTTGTTTATTCCTTTTTGATAAATACATGAAACAGGAAATACTTCACTTTTTTCTTAACTCTATTACTAGAAGAAGTAAATAAAATGGCAGAGTCATGATAGTGAATGCAATCCACACCAACATAGTATTAGACGGTAAACAATGGTGTGAAATGTCCTTCCAAAGTCAGCAGCCACAGGATTAGACAGTAAGGGATGACATGGATTGTCCTTCTAAAGTCAGCAGCCTCTCTTTGTGTTCCACAGATTTTTACCAGACAGAAACAAGTGTCAGTGGGATCAGAACTTCTACAATTTCCAGAGAAAACTAAAATCTGGACTTTTACATAAAATATTATGAATTTTAAATGTTGTCAATAATTCCCTTTCTAAAAACACTTCCTGACAGAACAGGACCACTCACACAAAACACATGGGACCTTTGTAGTAATTTTCTTTCTGAGCATGGCTAACTTACTTGATACGCATATCTCAAGAAAGCGTATTTTATTCTAATGCTTGCTCACTCATTCATCCATGTATTCCTTCCAAAAATATTTACTGACCAGACCTCTGCAACATACACCCTGCCAAGAAGAACAAGAATGGGGTTCACATCAGTGCCCTCAAAAGCTCATATTTTGATTAGGGACAAATTAATGAAGCAGGTGCCCATTGTATGGGGCAGGGACTGCTGATAGGGTGAGCACAGGGATGAGCAAGTGATGGATGGGGAAGCTACCACCCCACTTGGAGAACCAGTGTTGGCCTTCATGGGCAGGCCAAGCCAGTAGGACCATCTGAACTTCCTGGAAATTTAAATTTTTGATACACTGAAACTGGAAGAATGAAGGTTATCTTCTATTCTAGCTATTTTAACACAGAAAAGGAAAGAGAAGAAGAAGTCATAGTAGCAGCAGAAAGCTATAAAAGAGGAATCTTATCTCACTTGTATTGGAGGTGGTTTATGCGAAGCTGGGGGAGAATAGAAAGAAAAATGCACAGGAGCTCACACCTGTAATCCCAGCGCTTTGAGAGGCCGAGACGGGCAGATCACCTGAGGTCAGGAGTTCAAGACCAGCCGGACCAACATGGAGAAACCCCATCTCTACTAAAATACAAAAAATAAATAAATAAATAAATTAGCCAGGCATGGTGGCAGGCGCCTATAATCTCAGCTCCTCGGGAGGCTGAGGCAGGAGAATTGCTTGAACCCAGGGGGCAGAGGTTGCAGTGAGCTGAGATCAAGTCACTGCCCGCCAGCCTGGGCAAAACAGCACAGGGCAAGACTGCCTGTCAGAATAAAAAAAGAAAAGGTAAGATGTATCATAAGCTGGACTACTGGGCAGTCACTGCACAAGTCGTATGTTACTTTCTTAGCAATCAAAAACAGGCTAAAAGAATTCTCAGCTGTTAAAAGACAAGATATAGGTGTTCCTTCACTCACTCACTCATCAGCAAATATTGATAGGACAGACTCTAGGTGCTCATTTTTGTTCTAGGTAAAGTGATGGATGGACTAAAACAGCAACAACAAGATACTTCCTTCATGAAATGATGAAATCTACAGTCTAGTCAGGAGACTTGGGAGATAAAAGCACTGAAAATAAACAGATATGGAAGTTTCAAATAAAGACTAAAGAAGCAGGTGATGCATGGACACAGGGAGGGGAACAACACACACTGGGACCTGAAGGGGTGGGGTGGGGTGAGGTGAGGGGGAGGATTAGGAAAAATAGCTAATTCATGCTGGGCTTCACATCTCGGTGATGGATTGATAGGTGCAGCAAACCACAATGGCACACGTTTACCTATATAACAAACCTGCACGTCCTGCCAGTGTACTCCAGAACTTAAAAATTTTTTTAAAAGTCAGTTATATGTATGGATTTTATAATATTAAACCATTCCTGTATTTCTATGATCAGAAAAAAAAAAAAGAAAAAGAAGCAGGTGATGTAGTGGAAGGTGGCTGGGCCACTTTGGAAGAGTAGCCAGACAGGTCCTCTCTGAGGGGACATGTGAGGGTGGACCTGCGTGATGAGCAGGAACCAGCAAGATGACTGTCAGAGTGAGGATGTGCCGGGCATGGGGAACAGCAAGTGCAAAGGAGGGAACACACTTGGCGTGTGGGTGGAGTAGCTGGAGGGACAGCATGGCCTGCGGGCAGGGAGCAGCTGGGAGGGGGGCGGGGAGAAGCTACAGGGGGCCAAATCAGAGAGACCACCACATCCTGAGTATTTGAGTGGTGAGCACATAATAGATATCAAAAACCTGGCTACTTTGCTGCTATAGAACAAGAGGACATGGTTCTGACCTTCATGGAGCTTAACACTCTAGAGAGGAAAAGCAACACCACACGAAAGCAAAACACAGATTTAGAAGAAGCACCCTTGGTTTCTTCCCATCACCCTTCCCTCTTGGGAATGCCCCACCACACATGGGCATGAAAGGTGCCCTTGACCTCGTCATGCAGCCACAGCTGATTGGACCGGGAGTGAACACCTCACTCAGGTGGGGGCCAATCAACGTCCCTCCTCTCCCTGAAGTGTGAAAGAGTCCATGGTCCATGAGCTGCAGGGAGCTGAAGTGAAAATCACTTGACTAGGTGTTGGGAGCCCTGAGGCAGCCAGGGACCAGGGCAAGTGGAGAGAGGGAACTGAGAAGTTGGAAAATAATAATAATATTCACAGTATTAGATGTTGGGGTCCCAAGCTGAAATTCCTACAGGTGCCAGGAAGGAAGAAAACTCATTAATAGCTTACTTATGACAATAGCTGGTTAAATTATTTTAAATGCACTAGCACATTGAATCCTCACAACAGTCTTGGAAGAACTATCGTATTCCCATTTTACAAATGATAAAACTGAGGGACAGTTTGAAAATGGAGCCAAGGTACAGAAATAAATGTAATAAAGTACCATTTGGCCCTAGAACTAGAGACAGAAAGATTGGCTACTAAAAATCCAACCTCCCAGTGATGTCAAGTTTTGTTCAATAGAGTATCAATACTCTACTCCTCAAGAGGTTCTGTTTTCTACGGTAACTCCCCATTAAGCAAACAGGCCATGGTTAGGTCACCTTCTTGGCTGTTTTCCTGGCCTTCAGGAATGTTTGCTGATTTGCTAACAGTCTTCATTCTAAACCCATTGAGGGCCTGTGGCTCCTGTGAGTTGAGGTTTGTTTGGTACCATATTCCTTTTTTTAAGATTGTCAAGAAAAAGAAATCCTTACTCTTTATGTCCAACTGCCATCCATGGTGCTTACCCTACCATGCCCCTGTAGATGTAAGTGTAAATTTCAAGAGAGTTTTCTGGACTATCTCATTAAAGAAGGTCCAACCTATCAATATTTTTCAAGCTTTCTTACTCCAATATTTAATAGGCATACTGTTTACGCCACAAGGGTGTTATCACCACTAACTTGTGTTCTTGAAGTATTTAAAGAAATATCCTCTCAGGGGAAAAAAATGCACGTGGTTACCTTTGGCCTTAAGTGTGATTATGTGGGGAAACCCTGTGACTGGTCATCTGTTGGCAGCATTTTAGTACAACAGCCCCATAAAGAAGACAGCACAGTTAATGTTAGTTTGGTAGCTCAACAGTCACTTCTTCCTGTTGCTTGCTGTAGCAAGTCATGCATGGTGGTATGAGAAATCATGTGAGGGAGAAATTAATATGGGCTGAATTTTGGCTTTTTACAAATTTAATGAAAGCAAACCCACAGACCAAAGAAACTCAACAAACTCTGAAAACAATAACATATTTCACAACAAAGAACATTACCATGGACAAACAAAGTCATTTAATTACGATAAAGACTTTAATAATGATAAAGATGATAAAGGGGAAAATTCCTCAAAAGGACAATATTACTACACATGCGTGTGCTTGATTAAAGATCTCCAAAATACATGAAGCAAAACTTACAAAACTACAGGAGAAATAAACAAATACACAATTCTGGTTAATAATTTCTAGAACAAAGAGGAAAGATAACAGCAAAGATATAGAAGACTTGAACAACAATATCAATCAAGTAGACCTTAGAATGTTCCACCCAATATTATCAGAATATATAATCTTTTCAAGTGCATAAAAAACACGTACCAAATTAAACTGTATTCTGGATCATAAACAAATCTTAATAAATCTGAAATGATTCCTGTCATACAAACAAATGTTCCCAGCAAATAGCAAAAAGATATCTTGAAAATCCACCAAACTGTCAGAACATAAGTAGCACTCTTCTAAATAATGCACAGATCAAAGAAAAAACTGAAAGGGAAATTAGAAAGTATTTTGAACTAAATGAAACCGAAACCGTAATTTATTAAAATGTGTGTGATGTCACTAAAGCAGGACTCAGGTGGACAAATTATAGCACATACACCCCAAATTAGAAAATTTGTGAAAAAAGATTTCAAAGCAATAATTTTAGCTTTCTACCTTAAGAAAAATTTTTAAAAAGTGATCATTATGAAACCAAAAGCTAGTTCTTTCAGATTTTTAAAATGGATAAACTTCTAGCCAAACTCATTAGGAACAATAAAAAAGAAAGACAGAAAAAGAGATACAAATTGCCAGTAGCAAGAATAAAAGAGGTTAAGTAATTACATATTCTTGAAATATTCAAAAGATAATGAAAGGAAATTATGCATAACTCTAACAACAAATATAATGAGTTGGATAAAATTGACATGTAACTCCTAAGGCATGTGCTGACAAAGCTTACTGAAGAAAATTATATTCTTGGAATCACCACACATGTGATTATATTACTATAGGTTTTATAGGTAAACATCTCACAGACAACATTCGAGGTACAGGTTATTTCACTGGATAATTCTACCAAGTAAGTAATACAGAAATAACATAAGTCATACACAAACATGCAAACTCTTCTAAAAAGTTGCAAAGAAAAGAATTCCAAACTCATTGTACAAGACCAGTATTACCCTGATAACAAAATCAAAGACATTAGAGAAAATGAAAGAATACTAATATACTTCATGAAATAGATAGACAAATGCTAAACAAAATTTAATCAAGTATCATGCAACAACACAGATGAATATAACATCATGGCCAAGTATGTTTTCTCTGTAGAATACAAGATTTATTTAACATTTGAAAATCACCATATTAGGGTAAAAAGACATATTACCATCTCAGTAGGTGTAGAGGAAACATTTGAGAAAATTCAGTCCTCTCCCTTAATAGAAAACGCTCAAGAACTGTAATAGAAGAAATGTTTATTAACTTGATAAGGGGTTATCTGTGAAAACATACACATAACATCATACTTAATGGTGAAAGAATTAATGTTTTTACCCTAAGATCAGAAACAACAAAGGATGTCCATTATTACTACTTTTATTCAATATTTTACTGACTGTTCTGGCCAGTGCAATATTGCCTAAATTTGTAAGTAAAAAAGTAAATGTATATATATTTAAATAAATGCATGAATTTTAAATAGTTATATAGTTTAGAAAGACATAAAACTATTTTTATTCACAGATGGCATAATGGTCTATACAGAAAATGTGATGAAATCTATAAAAACATTACTAGAACTAATAATTAGGTTAAATAATACTGCAGGAAACATGGTCAGTATATAGAAACCAATTATATTTACTATCAACAAAAAATGAATAATCATGAAATAGACAATTTTTGAAAATACCATTTACCATACCAGCAACAAAATATGAAATACTTAGGGCTAAATATAACAAAAGATGTGCAAAACCTGCACATTGAGTACAATAACACATTGCTCAGATGAATCAAGGAATAGGTAAATTCCTTAATTTCATGCCACTCATGGTCATGAAAAGTGCCTTTGATCCCGTCATGCAGCCACAGCTGATTGGGCCAGGAATGAACACTTGACCCAGGCGGGACCAATCAACTTCCTCCTCTCCTTGAAGTGGGAAATAACCCCTGGTCCACGAGCTGCAGGGAGCTGTCGTGAAAATCATACAGAGGCTTGTAATGCTCATGGGTAGAAGCATTCAATGTTGTTAACATGTCAATCATGCCTAAATTGGTGTATAGATTCAGTGCAATCCAATTCAAACATCAAGTAGATGTTTTAGAGAAAATTGATAAACTGACCTCAAAATTCACAAAGGAATTGAAAGGATCTAAAAGAGTAAAAATAACATTGAAAAAGAACACATTTAGAGAAACTTATTTCAAGACTTATCACAAAGGTACAACAATGAAAACAGTGTAGTGTCACTGTTAAGAGTGGCAAATAGATAAATGGAACACAACAGAAACTCCAGAAATAAACATTCACATAAATGGATGTCTGATTTCTAACAAAGTAGCAAGAACAATTTAGTGGAGAATAAAAGATGATAGTTTCAAAAAATGATTCTATAAACATTAGATATTCATATGTAAAAAATAACTCATGCATATCTTTTATAAAATAACTTAAAATGGATCACAGACTTAACTATAAAACATAAAACAATAAAACCTATAGAATGAAACATCGGAGAAAATCTTTGTGACTTCAGGTGGCAATAATTTCTTAGATACAAAACCAAAAACATGTTCCAAGAAAACAAATGGATTAATTAGGCTCCATCAAGATTGAAATTATCTGCTCTGTGAAATACTCTGTACAGAGAATGATGAGACAGGTCACAAACTTGGGAGAAAATATTTGTAGCTCAGACATCTGCTAAAATACTTACATCAAAAATATATAAAGACTCAAAATGAAATAAGAGAGGAAGGAATGAAATAAAAAATGGTAAATAACTGCACAAATACTGCACCAAAGAAAAGAAATGGATGCCAAATAAATCAGGTTAAGAAGATGCTTCATATCATTAGTCCTTAAATAAATGTGAATTCAAGCAAAATGAGCTAGTATTACACAGCTATTATAATGGCTAAAATGTTTAACAATATAATGTGATAATGGCAGGGAGGCAGATTTTCTGGGATTCTCGTTTACACATTACTGGTGGAAATTCAAAATGGTATAGCCACTCTGTAAGGATAATATGGTTTGGCTCGGTGTCCCCACTCAAATCTCATCTAAAATTGTAATCCCCACATGTCCAGAGGGGAACCTGGTGAGAGCTGATTGGATCATGGCGGCAGTTTACCCCACACAGTTTTTGTGATAGTGAGGGAGTTCTCATGAGACCTGATAGTTTGTAAGTGGCAGTTTCCCCTGTGTGCTGTCTCGCTCCTGCTGGCGTGTAAGTCATGCCTTGCTTCCCCTTTGCTTTTCACCATGATTGTAAGTTTCCTGAGGCCTCTCCAGCCATGAGGAACTGGGAGTCAGTTAAATCCCTTTTCTTTATAAATTACCCAGCCTCGGGCAGTTCTTTATAGCAGTGTGAAAATGGACTAATATAAAAGGTGGCAATGTAATCATTTATTTTAAACTTGAGCATACACTTACCATATAACCTAGTAAATTCACTCATAGGCATATACCAGTGAGAAATGGAAAATTAAAGACCACAAGAAGACATGCACATAAGTGCTTACAAGAGTTTTATTTAAAATCACAAAAACCTGGCAACACCCTGAGAATATTCAGCCAGTGAATGGCTAAAGAAATTATAATACATTCATATACTACTCAGCATACTAAAATACAAAAAACTATTGATACACAAAATACCATGGATGAATACTAAATAATTTTTTTCTATGTGAAAAAAAGCCACTCACAAAGTCTATGTATTATATCATTCTATTTTTATGACTTCCTGGAAAAAGAAAAAGAAAAGGAAAAGATACAGATATAGAGGTGGAAAACATAGTGTTTTGGGATGTGTGTATGGGCTGACTACAAAGTGGCATCATAAGAAAGTTTTGGAGGTGATGGAGCTGTATTTAAGGAACAGTGTTGGTGAGTATATGACCCTATGTATTTGTCAAAATGCACATGACTATATAGCATAAAGAGTAGATTTTCATGTACGTTAATTTTAAAAAATCAAACTGTAGGAAAATGCAAGATGATATGCCAGACTATACTTTTGTATTACAAATAGTTCAATTAACCCTCCAGAAAGTGGTGGAGAAGAAAAAAGCTGATCTAAATGACTTTGTAAAACATTATTTTAACTGGATGTCTTAAGGTCACAAACAAAAGAACTGTGCTCAAACACTATTCTTGTTGGTCAATTTGCTTCTCACAGGAGTATGTGCTAGCATTTCTCAAACTATTTTAAATTTATACAAGGTTTGAACAAATAAGTAAATATATTGTAGCTATTTAGAGCCAGTTTTCTCAACTGTTAGCAAAACAAGATAGCCTTACTAAAAGGGACCAGCTTACAATGAACCTTCATTATTGGATTAGAATCAGAGATATCGCTATGAACTCAAATATCTATCTGATCTATCTATCTATCTATCTATCTATCTATCTATCTATCATCTATCATCTATCTTTTCTATTTATCTCTTTATATCTCCATGCATCCCTGTATCTGCATCTGTATCTGCATGTAGACAAGATGGATATCCATCTGTCTATATCTTGACATACATATACATATAACTAGATAGAGAGGGTTATTTTTATCTTTGCACAGATTAGTAAACATGTATTTCCAAGATTTCCTCAATGAGGGTAGAATTAATGACACTGCAGCAGCAAAGTGCACACATGATAGGTAGATCTTAGTTTCTAAATACCTAACTCCAATAAAAGAAAACAGAGCTGCTTGGTTGGTCTCATGGCTGAGGCAGGAAAAATACACGATGAACCTGAAGCATTCTGTAGTTTCAGCAAGTTAAGAAAGTGCTCAAAAAAGAGAGACGTCAAAAGAGTATAGAAACTGCCCTGAAATAGCTCCAAATGGCAGAAGTGGGAACAATTTGAAAAATAAAATAAATAATGATAGAATCGAGTTGTAATTCAAAGACTAAAGTATTTTTAAATCCAGATGCAAATGAACAAATAATTGAATAGGAGAGAAAGGTCAGCTCTTCCTGAGAGGGGGATTCCAATTAATGCATGTAAAAAGAATTAAGGAAAGAGAAAAATTACTACTTAGAGAATTAACACATTAATAATTTGCTGCATCCAACATCCATATGTGGATGCTAAAATTGGTGAGCAGAAGTTTAAGGAGAAGCAGGAAATTTGCATAGACTCAAATCATATTCCTTGAATCAATTAGTTTTTTTTGTTTTGTTTTTACTTTAAAGGGGAAAACTAGTAACTTCAGATTGGAAAGTCTAGAAAGTACCACCTCAGTCAAGTGATCAAGGTCAACACAAACATAGGACATATGCATTTCATGTAGCCCCTTTACAAAGCACTGAGAAGGGTCCATGACCTCCATTGCATTCTTCCAGTAAATTATAATCTTAATGAAATCATAGGAAAATATCAGACAACCCAGTTTGAGAAACAGTCTAAATATAATTGACCAACACTCTTCTAAAGTATCAAGGTTGTGGAAAACAAGCAACATCTGTGGAACTGTCACAGAGTAAAGAAGAATCAAAAGATACAGCAGCCAAGTGAAACACAGACCCTGGTATAGGACCCTAGTCGGAAAAAAGCTGGTGCAATTCAGATGGTCTGTAGTTCAGTTAATAATATCGTACCAATATAAATTTATTCATTTTGATAACTTGGGAGGAAACAGTACGTAGCTTATATGGGAAGTCTGTGTCACTTTTGCACCTTTTCTGTAAGTCTTGTTTCATTTTTAACAAATTTAAATTCTTCTGGAAAGGCTACAGCTAATGCCAGAAATACTACCCAAAGCAGAGAGAGAGAGATAGAAAGAATATTCTCTCTTCTCTATTCTCCTCTCTGCTTATTGTCCTTCAGTGCCTCCCATTGGCTAAATCTACCCAAAAGATAGCAGGGAGAGAGACATGAGAAGTGTAGCTATGGGCAGCTGAGGTAATAAAGAGAAGAGAGCAGGGCAACAATGGGAAATAATTCTGACGGCAAATAGGTAAACGAGCAGCATGGAGGAAACGGAATACAGGGCATCCTTTACATTTCCATAGCTGAGATGTGTGAGAGACTCAATGTCTGAGATACCATCAGCTCTCACCACTCACTCCAATTTGTGTTGCCTGCTTCATAGGGTAGGACTTAAATACACATCCTATTCCATAAAGATGGGTGTACAGTTCCTCCATCACTCATTTCCCGGACAAGTGTTAATGTCTCTTTATTTGCTGGAAAAGATGAGATTCAGTGTAGAATAGGCTAGAGATAGACAGGTTAAAAAAAAAAGATGAGTCTGAGACCAACTTAGCCAACACTCACCTTGTGCTGAATCCCATCTCTTCTCCTGGTGGGAAGAATGGAACCTAGGGCACATGGGAGAAGTTCACACCTAAGATTTGTAACCTCAGTTGCAAATTCCATGTCTTCAGATGAATACCAGGGCCAACTTCATTCCTTGAGCTTTGGTATGGACTGAATATTTTTATCCCTGCCAAATTCATATCTTGAAATTCTAACCCCCAATGTGACAATATTTTGAGGTGGGGCTTTGGGGAGGTGCTTAGTCATGAGCACAGAGCTCTCACGAATGGGATTCACTTATAAGATGAGACATGAGAAAATTGCATCCTTATCGCTCCTCTTTGCCCCGTGCAAACCAGGAAGAAAACCCTCACCAAACATGGGATATTTGGGTGCCTTAATCTTAGACTTCCCAGACTCCAGAACCATGAAAAATAAATGTATGTTGTTGAAGTACTCCAGTCTGTGGTATTTTGTTATGGTACCCAAGCTGACTAAAACAGCTTTATAGCCATGTTAGCTCTCACCAAGTGAGCATTCTTCTGCCACTGTGGGCTTGAGTCAAGAAATAAATATCAGATGTTTAAAGGAAACATAGTTATTATCATTTGTTATAAGCTAAATTATGTCCCCCTAAAATAATTCGTGTGTTCAAGTCCTAACTCCAAGTACCTCAGAATATGACTATATTTGGAGATAGAGTCCTTAAAGATGTAATTAACTAAAAATGAGGTTATTAGAGTGTGTCTTAATCCAATACGGCTGATGTCTTTTCAAGAGAAGGAAATTTAGATACAGACATGTATGGAGAAAAGACCATGTAAAAACACAGGAAGAAGATAGCCATCTACAAGCCCAGGAGAGAGGACTCAGAAGACACCAACCCTGACAACAACTGATTTTCATCTTCTAACCTTCAGAGCTGTGAGACAATAAATGCCTGTTGTTTAAGCCACCAGGTCTGGGTCACTTTGCTATGCGAGTCTTAGAAAACTAACACTAAATGACACTTATCTCCTCGATAAGAGAGGTCATAAGTATGTTGGTCTTAAAATTCAGCAGAATTCTCATTTTCCCCAGGTGCCCAGGGGGATAAATTGGTAAATGTGAGAAGAAGAAACACTTCTGATGTTTTCCCAGGTAAATCTAGAAAGCTGTGACCCTCCTTTTCACCATTAAAGTAACATATTATATTCCTCAAGAAAATACTCTTGATCTTTCCATCCATCCTGAATATGGCCGGCTTCCCAGAGCAGCATTTGCTGAAAATATTGTCAAATTTTGGTGATTAAGAAAGTCAAATTCTGATCCCTTCATGGGCATATTTTTTTTGAGGGATTGAGAAGGAGCTAACTTATGGTAGAAATCAAATTTTGTTATATCTGATTTTGTTCATTTGAAAAAGTTAAAAAGAAAAAAATTAAGTCTATGTGGGTCTGTATCAGACTAACGTGGTTCAACATTTATGTAACAAAGCTGTGACTTGTTTTTCAGTTCTGTGGACCCCAGGTTGAAAGCCATGTGGCCTGAGCATGCTCAGATGAGCCAAGCAGGCAACCACGGGGGGAACCTAAGTGCTCTGATGGAGGAGTGGGGACTGAATTAAGAAGCGTACACAGCATGGCAGAGTCCAGGATCCAATTAGATAGAGCCCTGATTGTCGCTCCATGGCAGGATCCAGTCAGATCATACCTCCTGTCATCACATCATCACGACATCCAATCAGCTCACACGTCATTACCTTATGCTTATAAAACCTGACCCAATCTCCAGCTCCAGAAGACAGATTTGAGTATTTCCTTCTGTCTCCTTGCCAGTCAACTTGCAATAAAGCTTCTCTTTCTCCCAAAGCTGATGCCATGTTATTGCTTCTATGCGCATTGGGCAGTGAGCCTATTGAGTGTTTGGTAGCATAAGGATAAATTTCCAATTTCATGTCTCTTTTTTATTGTGCTAAAATATGCATAGCATATTGATATATTTAAGTAGGCTTCCTGTGACAGTTTACCTATTTTTCTTCAACTTATAAGGCGTAACACATTCCTTGCACCTCACAGAAATAGGATATGCTATCTTAGCCAGTGCCTTGTGTGCATTTTCTTCTTCAGCTTTCTCTTAGGCAAAAATCAGATTTAAATTCAATTTGTAGTTATCTATTCATGTCTGATAGCCAAATTGGGGCCATCACATTTGAGTGAATGCGAGTAGACAGATGTGAGACGTCTCAATCTCAGCTGTCTCCTTTAATTGCTTTTGTGGATGAGACAGGAAACATTATTGGTAGTATTGTAATGCTCACCAAATATCCTGAAAATGGCCCTCGGGAGCACATACCGATTTAGCACTTGGCTCTACAACCCTAAAGAGTAAGTGACTAAAGATCTCTGTTAACATTGGTTATAAATTAACTACGGAACTTTGGACATATCCCACTTTCTGTGAGCAGAAGATATCAATCTATTTCAATTTGTTGATATCCCTAGGAGTATTACATATTTAAAACTAAAACCCAGAAGCTTGGGCACCTGAGTCATCAATCTCTTTTGCTCCATTTCAGCTATTTCATGTGCTTTTGTTTTGTGCATCTCACACAGGTGGAATTTTTCTTTTTCTGAGTTAAATACATTTAACTTGATATATAGAGTTATTGTGTGAGGCCAGAATATTTTCAGTTCATACCTTCACTTCTGTTTTGTTGTTAGTGTGTTATTCATTTCTAGCTTTGAGTGGCAGAATCTCTCCTGAACTCTAAGAAAATTAAAGAAATAAAGGAAATGTCTGCAGGCATCCGTTGGCATGCCTTTTTATTTTACCTGTCACACCGTAGCAGTCAAACAAACATAGCAGTTTTATAAATGATCCATTGAATGACAAAGAGCATCCCATTCTCGATGGTTTTTACATGGGGTTTATTTATTCTCTATGTTGTTATCCAATTCTTTGCTTCTTGGATTTGTTAAAATAAATGAGTTAAATTAAACAATTTAAAAAGGAAACTTTAAGGACCTCAGATTCATTAGAATCTACCCTTTGTTTACAGCATGAGAACTGCCCTCTTCTGTGACAATTTAATCCAAACACAATATAGACCTTCAGTGCTGGAGCCACTAAATAAAAATAGTAAAGCTGTCAAGGTAATTTTTTAAAAGCTGTTCAAGATCTGTATTTACTTTCTTTCCTTGACACCCGGATAAAAGTTCAAATCTTGTTGCTGCTTTTCAAATAGGAAGATGTGGTAAAACTGCTTCCCTCTACCATAGTCTAATCTAGAACTAAAACCTACCCTGACTAAGCATTTAGTCTTGACAGTGACCATCAAAGTTTGGGACCTGGACTCTTTCAACGTGGCCAGAGTGCTAGCTTGCTGTGCTCATTGGCAGTGGAAACTGACACTCTAAAAGAAAGAAAAAAATTAAATCTAAGAGCAAATTTCCAATTTCATTTCCTTTTTTAATTGTGCTAAAATATATATAACATATTGACAAATTTAACCATTTAAAAGAGACAATTTAGTGACATTATGTACATTCACAATTTTGTGCGACCATTATCACTGTCTAGTTTCAGAACATTTTATTACTCTAAACATCTCTATACTTACTAGCAGTCATTCCTTTTTCCCCCACTCCTGAGCCCTGTCAACCACCAATCTGTTTTCTGTTTCTATGGATTTCCCTATTCTGGACCTTTCATATAAATGGAATGGTACAATAAGTGCTATTTGGGGACTGGCTTTATTTTGCACAATTTTCAAGATTCATCCATGTTATAGTAGCATGTATCAATAGCTCATTTTTTTGTTGAATAGTATTTCATTGTATGAATTTGCCACATTTTGTTTATTTATTCATTCTTTGATGAACGTTTGCATTGTTTTCCACCTTTTCGTCTATTTTGTTTTATTTTTCATACAAGCAGGGTTTCCCTATGTTGCTTAGTCTGGTCTCAAGCCCTTGGACTCAAGCGATCCGCTCACCTCGGCCTCCCAAAGTGCTGGGATTATGCCATGCCTGTCCCAGCCTCCAACCTCTTTAAACCACAAACACTAGAGGACTGTTTACCATCATGCAACTCCTAACATACTAGTGAGCCATTCTTAAGTTTAAAAATAAATCAATGCCAAAAAACAAAATCTCATTTCTAGGAAGGAAACAAGAGCTCATGCGTTGAACCAACAGGAACAAAGGAAGCATTGTAGTTTTGTTTTCATACTTGTTACCTCTTCTGTCCCCTGAAAGCCTGAACTCAGCCTGAGGTCTGACAACATTCTATATTTCCATAGTGAAAAATAGGTTTTTATGAGCAGCAGAATATCAAAAAGTCAATGCCTTGAAGAGTTTCAGGGTGCAATGACAACAGAAAACATAAGCAGTTGTAATAATTATAATCCCAACAACAATTAGGATTCTGTTGCGTAGTTCACTATGGCGTACTGAGCAAGTAGTAGATGCTCATTAAATATTTAATGAGTTAATGAATAAGACAAACGTACTTTGAAATTTACTTTGCATTCCTTCATCTGTTGGTCTACACAGATGCTACAGTATTTTGTTACTCTTGTCTTGTTCTTTCCTCTTCTTCTTCTTTTTTTTTTTAATCAGAGTGAATTCCAAGAATATTCAAGTTCATGAAAAAGTCCCCTGGCTAATGATTCTTAGTCTTAAATTTTGAGCAGATTCTAAATAGATGGTTGAGATTAATGTAAGCCTAGGAAGGAAACTGAATCTTGTAGCAGACACAAAATGAATAAAAGCTAAAGGTTTGCAATACCCAAGACTTAAGCAGGAAAAGGTAAGGCAGTATTATCAGTAATGAATGTGGTTGGCTACAACAACAGAAAATTTAGCTAATGATCCCTTAAAGGATGAGGACTTTCTTGTTATTTATTGTCATCAGTTTGGGCTACACTCAGTGATAGTTGGTCATGAAAACCCCGTATCGTTAACGTATTTGTCTTTTTTTCTGTAGTACGGTTATTTTATAATTGGGAGATGGCCCTCATAGTTTTAAATACCACGTTTTCACTGGACAGCCCCCAGCGCAGGATGAGAAGAAAGGGACAAAAAGAGGCCATTCTGGCTTAATATTATTTGTATGAAGGAGGAAAGTGTTTCTCTGAAATCCCCATAAGACGTAGTCTTAGATCTCAATGGCCAGATGCAGGTCACATGACTCAGACCAAACCAATCACAGGCTTATGTGAAATGGGCATATCCTCACAGAATTTCTGTGACTGACCTGAACCAATCAGGATCTGTGCCCTGAGTCTGGATAAGGGACAATATGCTGCCCATCAGATGTCAGAACAAAATAATGAATGGCTGTGGGTGGCCTTCCAAGAGAGTCATCAACAAAGCAGCCCTCTCAGGGAGGAAATGAGATAATTTTCCATGATGAGACAGATGGCTCAGTGTTATGTAAAGGAAATCAAATAAATTTAAATATCATAGTGACTAACTCGTTTCCTTTCCAATTCTTTTTGAGCTCTTCAGATTGCATCACAGAGAAAAATCTATTCGTTTTTGAGACTGTAATGTCTAACACTTTCAGCCTTTTTAAGAGAAAGGAGGCCCACCTAAGCTCAAGGCTTTATACAGGTAACAACAAGGAATTGCAATGTTCCATTTCACGACACTTATTTTCATAATTGTCCTCTATGGTAAGTTTATATTATTTCCTTTTTGAATGTTCTTATTACCCATAGAGGTTAACTTAAATAATATATCACATAAATAATAATACAAATATTTTGACAACATGAAATTAATAAAAGATAATTTTTTAAATGACTGAAAATTAAAAACTGCTGAATATAAAATAGTGAGCAAGAAGATTTCCAGGACAATCTGGGACCTAAGGGAAAACTGAGGTTGAATCAAGATTAATTTTTAGGGCAAAATTAATGGAAAACTTTAAAATACTATATTGGTATTTCCCATTCTTTCATGCATCAAATACTATTGTTTCTGAAAAGAAGCTAGTATATTCAAAGCCATAATTCAAAATAGTTTTATCTCTTGCCTTCAACTTAGGATTAAAATAGCAGAGGAAGTCATGAACTCATGAACTGAGATAGATATATAATTGATCAATAGGCCAATTGATACAGATACTGATATCTCTCTTCTGGTATAATGTGTCTACACTGGCGATCACTGGATTGGGCCTCCATTAAAAAAATGAAAGTCATGGTGTGTAACTGCAATGTTTCTGTCAATGAAAAACATTTCTGCTTCAGTATACCTATTTGAAATGTTCTTAGTGGCATAAAATTGATTTTATACTCAATATATTAGAACAGTGTTATTGGAAGTGTACAGGGAGGCCCTGGAGATGTATAATTTGATTTTAGGTGGTTGCCAAACACAGCTTTACACAACATAGGCTCACATAGTGAGAAATGTTTCAGTCACGTCTCAAAGATATTTTGGGTTTGGTTCTGGACCACTGCAATAAAGCTAATATTGCAATAAAGAGAACAATGGAAATTTTTTATTTCCCAGTTGTATTAGTCCATTCCCACACTGCGATGAAGGTCTTGGTAATTCAATAAGGAAAGAGGTTTAATTGGCCCACAGTTCCACAGGGCAGCGGACGCCTCAGGCAACTTAAAATCACGGTGGAGGGGAAAGCAAACCGTCCTTCTTCACATGGCAGCAGCAAGGAGAATTGTGAAGCAAAAGGAGAAAGGCCCCTTATAAAACCATCAGATCTCTTGAGAATTCACTCACTATCACAAGAACAGAATGGAGGTAACTGTTCCCATGATTCAATTACCTCCCACCGGGTCCCTCCCATGACATGTGGGGACTACGGGGAACTACAGTTCAAGACGAGATTTGGGTGGGGACACAGCCAAACCATATCACCAGTGCTTGCAAAAGTTATGTTGACATTATACTTTGATCTATTAAGTGTGCAATGGCATTATGTATTAAAAAAAAGTACATACCTTGAGTAAAAATATTTTATTGCCAAAAACTGCTAATGAATTGAGAACATGCTGTTGGAAAAATGGAATCCATTGCTTGATGCAGGGCTGCCAGTTCTTCGAGTAAAAAACACAGTATCTGCAAGCACAATAAAATGACGCACAGTAAAATGAGGTATGCCTGTGTTTTCTTTTTGAGTTTTCTTTCAATTATTTTTGTTATTTCAGAGAACAAGACATCTGTCTTGATCATCTTTAACAATTTAAAACTTCCTTTTTTTTATTTTTTTGAGATGGAGTCTCACAGCTGGGAGGCAGTGGTCCCAAGGCCTTGCTCCCTTAGCTTTTTTCTGGTGGGATGATATCCCTTTGGTCTTCCTCAGAGGCACCAGATGCCCAGTTCCTGGTGTTGTGGCTTGGGAGCCTATGATTTATTTCTTTTTTTTGAGACAGAGTCTCACTCTGTCACCCAGGCTGGAATGCAGTGGCATGATCTCGGCTCACTGCAACCTCCACCTCCTGGGTTCAAGTGATCCTCCTGCCTCAGCCTCCTGAGTAGCTGGGACTATGAGCGTGCATCACCATGCCCAGCTACTTTTTGTATTTTTAGTACAGACAGGGTTTCACTATGTTGGCCAGGCTGGTCTTGAACTCTTGACCTCAAGCGACCCACCTGCTTTGGCCTCCCAAAGTGCTGGGATTACAGGTGTGAGCCACCACACCTGGTCCTAAAAACTTTCTACTATATCCTTTCAACAAAGAGAGCAGGAGCAGAGCCCTTAGTGGTTTCCAGGTGGTCTCTCTCTGGGGCTAGCTCCATAGCTCCAAGATCTCAGGGATGTGGGTGTGAATCAGGGAGTCCCTTGGATATTCTTGTGTGATCACAAGGTCGCTTCCCCGCCTTCATGCCTCATATCCTCATACATTTAGCCTACAAACAAAAAGAGTGACGGGCAGATCTCAAAAATGTTTTGTTTTGTTTTTGTCTTAAAAGCCATAACTTTTTGGGAATTTATTTTCCCAAAAGCCCCATTTCTAAATTCCTCTGAGGTGTGAAGGCCAGTACTGGGTTTCGTGCTGACACCTAGACCCCAAACTAGCAAAGATGTGGGACTGCCGTTGACTTATTCCTCTTCATCTCTTGAGGCCTCAACACAAATCTAGGATTGGCATGAAATGAGAAGGCATCTAGGTGGGCAGCAGAAAAATTCTGCCACATTTCTAAAAATTTGTAGTATGTATTTCTGTTTAGCTTCCACTTATGGAAGTGATGTAAAGCAGTAAAGAAGCAACTTCTATTAAAGAAAAAATGTTAAATGAGTTTAAAATAGTATGTAATTATATGTAGGGTAAGTGGATATGACAAATGCAAAGGAATGGTGAGGATGCTGTCTCGATGTTGGGGTAACTGACTCATCCTGCTTTGCTCAGTAACATGCTGGTTTTATACGTGAAGCCTCATGTTCTGCAAACTCCCCCAGACAGCAGCCAACTGGGATGGTTGGGAACCTTATCCACATTCTACAACAGACTCTAAAAAGAGAGGTTTCCATTTTCCCAGACTTCTTTGTCTGTCTGGGAAGGAAGAATCATGATACGGGAGTGGAGTCTGAGCTTGAATGCACCCTTCTCAGGGTCCCTCAATCTGAAAGGTAGACACTGCCTACATTGCTTAGGCGTGACTTTAACCTCAGCACAACCACTCCTCCTTCACCAGTGCAGTTTCCAAACACTTCACCTCATCTGCGCAAGTTTTTGCAAATGTTGCTGTATGTTCTCATGACACCAACTCAGGAGAGGGAGTAGGTGCATTCCAAGCCTCTATTCATAGTTCAGTGATCTGACCCAGAATTATGGGGTAGATACATTCAATAAAGAAAGAATGTCAAACGTAGCTAAAACCACAGAGACACGGACTTGGATTATAGAGAAGAGAGAGTCATGCTGATTTATTTCTATCTCCTATGAGAGAAGCAATTACCCAAACCCACAATCTATTGGAAAATCTCACGTGGAAGATACAAAAGTTACGGGACTTTTTGTCAGCCCGAAGAATGACCACGTAAAAAATCCCAAGTCCCCTCAGCAGACTGCGAATGTGCATGATTCTTTTCCAGCTCAGGGCTCTCCATTTTTTCTTAACCCCAGGCTGAATCAAAGTGTGCAGATGTTTTCTGAGTTAGATCCCCTGTGCCTCTGCAGGTTCTGGTCCTGCACCTTTGATGGCCTCAGTATTCCCTGCAAGATGCACCTGCCTTGATTTCACTGCCTGATAACAATTAGAGATTCTATTAAACAATCTCTGCATAAAAGGTTTAGAGGATATGATGCAGAGAAATTAAATGAGCCAGAATGTAGATGCCTATAGTGTTTGCAATAATGCTTAATGTCAAACTAGGTGGAAAATGATGCTTTGCAGATGCTGCGTTATTTTTCAGGAGAACAGCTGATAGTCACCCCACAATATTTTCAGCGTGTGTTTTTCCTCTAATAATGGGGAGTCAACTGACAGACCCAGTAGCACCAGGCATTCCACAGGAAGTAAACTTGTTGGTCATCATCTGGAAGTTTGACAGTGACATTAAAAAGCATGTTCACCCAATTTAAATAAAAGCTTAGTGAATTAAGAACTAGTTCCAAAGCTTTCCCTGCTGGCCTATTATAATGACCTCATTGGGATCTCCTTCTTCACAAAACCTGGGTCATACTGAACATGCCACAGTTAAAAATATGGCTGGGGAGAAATGGTACTAGTGTGGAGTGTCAGTATTTTCCTTTATGGTTTCAAAACCTGATGACATATTTTAATTTCCCAAGTCCCTTTCCTTGCTGCAAGGCCTCTTTTTCCAAATCCCTTTCTGGGGGTGAGATAATGGCATTCACATCTGCTTTATCAGCTGAATGCGGTGTTTCAAACTCATGGGATTGACTTTGAGGATTTATTTAATTTGCACGCTTGAAACAACTGCAGTCCTTCCCCAGCCATGGCATCTCATGGATGGCACAAAGAGTGAGGTTGGACTTCTTGGTTGCTCTTAATTTCACAGCCATGGTGGCCTCATTCTTCACATGCCAAGGGCAGCAATGGGACATCAATTTGAAATCAGTGACATGAGAGGTGACCTTGGAGTCTTAAGACCTAAGTCCAGGCCCCAGATTTGTTCCCAACTTATGGGACTGCTTAAGTTCTACCTGCTGTTTCCCTACCTATAAAGAGATGATGCTTATTCTATCTGATGCTGGGAGTCACAGAAAGAGCAAATGAGCTCAGGTGTGTGACACACTGTCCAAAATAAGCACCTGCTAAGGTCAATCATCTCCTACTTGGACCCAGGGCATCCTCCTTGGGTTTGTGGTTCCTGGGATTATGAAGTCTACAGAGAAGACAGAACCCAGTCTCAGCACTGCTGCAACCTCACTGGGATGGGAAGCCCCATGGGTGGGATGCATCAGTGAAGAAAACATGCAGAATGATTTCACAACTGTGACATTTTCCATTGTGCAATGTCACCTCCAATCTCTCCATTCTGCCTGCACCCAACATGTTGAACTTGTAGCTATGGGGAAGGTCAATCATCCATGGGTCAATCATCCTGAGTGCCCCTGTGCATTCTTCCTGGGCATTCTGAGAATGTAAGGCACAAATGCTTTTTGTTCAGGCCATCTCTCAAGCTTGTGTTTTCCGTGAGCCACCTTGAGAGATGAGGCAATGTCTTCTTCTACAGAAGAAGCAGACTTCTTTACTGCTCACTGTAAAAGTAGTACGTTTCCCAAGTCTATGTTCCTCAGCTGGGACATAAACCACTGCATGAGCATCACTTGCCTGGGAACTGACCTTTGTGTGGTCCCAGGTGGACCTGGAGGCATTGGAAACTGACAGAACCTCATGAAGCTCAAAGCTGCCTTTTGTACTGTGAATAACAAAATCCTTTGCCTCTGACTCTGGAGTCTCATGTCTTCTGCTGGAATCCATGACACTATTAATAGCTTATTTTATTAGCTTACAAGTGGTGTAAAATTCTAGACCCCTCATGGTTCTTGATATCGGCTTGTTATGAAAACACAGCTTAACTTTTGTCTCCCAATATTCCATTGACTGATTGATTGATTGAGACAGGGTCTTGCTGTGTTGCCCAGTCTGGAGATCAGTGGTGTGATCATGGCTCACTGCGGCCTCAACCTCCAGGTCTCAAGCAATCATCCCAATCCTCAGCCTTCTACGTAGCTGGAACTACAGGCGTTTGCCACCACACCTGCTATTTTTTATAGAGACAGTTTTCGCCATGTTGCCTAGACTGGTCTCAAACTACTGAGTTCAAGCAATCCTCCCGCGTCAGCCTCCCAGAATGCTGAGATTACAGGCATGAGCGACCGCCTGTGGCCCCAGTATTCCTTTTAAATGTATTAACTGTTGGTTATTTTTCCCTGTCCTGGATAAACACTCCAGCAGACCTCCTGATTTTTCTACTCCCTACTCATTACTAAGCTATCCCTTCATCAGCTGAGGTCATGCACCGTCCCTATTCACACTTAAAATATCTGGTCCAACAAACGGCAAATCTGTTTTTGATTTAAATGGAGTCCTTTCCCCTCTCCTAGCTCACAACTGCTCCAGGCCTCTTTCTGTCTCTGGAACACACCAAGCCCATTTTCCCCTCAGAGCCTTGGCTCGCCATGCTCTTCGCCCTCCACGCTCCACAGTGGGGCCGCCTTGGCTCTTCTAGATCAAAGCCCCCACCCCAGTCCCTCACTCTCTACCTCACAGTCCTGCTTTATTTTATGCTTAGCAGCCATCAGCCTTTGAAATCATATTATGCTATGATTTTCTGTATATGCTTTCAATCTTTTTTGCCCCACTAGGGTGTAACTTCTGAAGACAATAATTTTGCCTCTCTGTTTACTCTATTCCTGGTACCTAAAACAGTGCTTGACTCGCAACAGATGCTCAATAACTGTCTGTTAAATGAATGAAGGCCTTAACATACAAACTGCACACACCAAAACCAACCTCGTTTTATTTTTTTCTAAATATAAATGACTAATTGCACTCTCTTTCAATCTCTGTCTCTATATATGGATACATATACATACATGTTTTGGAAAATTCTCAAATCATGTTTTTCCTCTGCTACCACACTTCAATCAACCCAGGAGGCTTCTGTAACCAAATGTGTTGGATTTTTTCCCACCAACAAGCAGCGGACAACAGCTAGGTACCCCCCAGTGTCTCTGTTTCATCCTAGAATAGCGCCCAACCCATAGTAGATATGCACAAATGTGAGAATTGAATAAATTAATGCTTATTGTTTGGTTGGGCTCCAAATGGGACACTTCCAGATAGCGTTCATTAAATTCCAACACTATCTACCTGGAGATAGTGTCAGATTCCACAGGTCAAGGACTCAGTCCCACAAGACCACCCCTCCTTCCCACCAGTCACAAGTCTGGGCCTCCAGAGCTTCTGAAAGACCAGCTTCAAGCTGGGAGCCCTATGAGCCGCTCTTTGGTTTTCATTGATTTGCTGGAGCCGCTCAGAAGACTGAAGAGAAATTCTTATGTTTACCAGCGTATTATAAAGGACACTGCAAAGGATGAAGATGAAGAGATGCTAGGGCAAGGTATGGGGGAAGGGATAGAGAGCTTCCATGCCCTCCTTGGGCGCCACGCTCCAGGAACCTCCACGTGTTCGGCTATCAGGAAGCTCCCTGAGCCCAGTCCTCTTGGGTTTTGATGGAAGCCTGGTGAGGTCAGCATTCCTTCCCTTAGGGTACAAGGTGGGGCCCTCTCTGGAGAGGGTCTTTATGAACCTCACTAGGGACAGAAGAGGATGATTAGAATTTTGCCTTCGGACAGGTGAAAAGAGGGCAGGAGAAAGCTGGAGAAAGTCTACTTACTGAGGTCTGCTCATGAGGCCTGACATATCCAACGTCATGAGAAAAGACTAATAGGGACTATGGGAGTTAGGAGCCAGGAACCTTGAAGGTAAACACATGTGCATATATGTATTGTGGTGATGTTTTATATTTATATATATAATATATAATAATACAATACTATATAATATACATTAATATATTACATATCATTTATATATTAATATATATTAATATATATATTTATAGCTAGTAATATTAATATATGATATATATCATATATCATGTGTTATCTATATTATATATCATATATAAAGACACCAGAATATATATATATATATATATATACACATATATATGATTATGTGAAATTGGGTATCATATGATGCCATTGCCATGGAAATTCTAGAGCAAGCTTGTCCAAACCATAGCCTGTGGCCTGCATGAGACCCAGGATGGCTTTAAATGTGCCCCAACACAAATCTGTAAACTTTCTTAAGGCATTATGAGATTTTTTGGAATTTTTCTTTTTAGCTCATCAGCTATTGTTAGTGTTAGTGTATTTTATGTGTTGCCCAAGACAATTCTTCTAATGTGGCCCTGGGAAGCCAAAAGATAGGACCCTTCTGCTCTACAGGATCCAGCTCTGAGTGCTATAACACTGATCTATAATTTAAGACCTTTCAGGTGACATCTAGAAGAGGTTAATATATATTAATATGTAGAATATATTTTATATTAAGATATATTTATAAAGATGTATTTTATATTTCTATATCAATGATACATAATATTTTATATGTAATATATGTCATATATTAATATATATTAGATATATCATGTCTATTTATTATCTATATAATAATGCCACAATACATACTTACATATATGCAGTTGTGTGAAATGGAATATCATGTGATGCCATTTCCATGGAAACTCTGCAGGATTCAGCTGCGAGTGCCATGACCCTGACCTACAACTTGTGACCGTTGAGGTGGCATCTAGCAGAGACAGCCAACAGGAATTTCGGTAAAAAGCTCAGGGAAACCAGTTGTTCTCTCACGGATACAAAGTCATCCAGCCAGCTATTGGGCTGAAATTATCTTTATTTTATTTCATATTCTACCATTATTGTCGTCTCAGCTAAATGTCTTCTTAACATCAGTTACATAACTGGGAAGACAGAAAGGTCCTCAGCCCAACCAAACAGTTAGCACCAATTAATGTGATTCTCACATTTTCATGTACCTGCGATGGGTCGGGCACTATTTTAGGATAAAGTTGAAAACAAAACAGATAAGGCATTTCTGCCCACATGGAGCTGACATTCAGATGGTAAACACATATGTGGGTTAAGCATGTAACTGATCAGATAGTGATGCATGCTATGGTCAACTCAGCATCCGGGAAGCAAAGTAGGAATTCTTTTTGAAGGGATGAAAGGATAGCAAGACTCACTGAGAAAGTAGAAGACACTAAAAAGAAAAAAAAAATTCCAGAACAAGGTCAGGATGTAAGTCCTGCAATTTCTTAGGGGGTCGGAGGGCATCCCAGGAAGAGGGAAGAGCTCATGCGGAAGCCCTGGGCAGGGAGGCTGTGGGGCACGTTCAAGGAACAGCAGTCGGAGCTGCACTGCCGGAGTGCAGTGAATGAATGGAGGGAAGGAAGGAAAGAAAGAAAACAGGAGAGAGAGAGAGCCAGATGGTGTAGAGATTTTGTTTTTTATTCTGAATGAGGTGGGAACTGATTAGAGGGCTTTGAAGAGAGTGGCATCATCTAGATCGTAATTTGAAATGCTTATTTCAGCTTCTGTAGGTGGCACAAGAAGAAGCAGGGATTCCAGAGGGGAAGCTGATGTAATGAACTCAGAGAGAGGACAGGGGACCTGGATCAGGGTGGCAGTCGTGAAACGGCGAAGAGTGGTCCATGTTCAGATACATTCTCATCATAGGGCCTATGAATGTCCCTGATGGATTGGGCTGGTGGGAGAGAGAAAGCAGCACCAAGCATGACCTCAAGATTGAAGACCTGAATACACGGAGAAGGCTGTTGGCAGAACAGATGAGGGTAGTGGTGGAATTGGCAGCTATAATTGCAGGATGGGTGATGACGTAATGTTTGAGGTGAGTTCAGGATGGAGAATCTAGCTGGGCATGTATGTTCAGGACTCTTCAGAGAACCGGTGACATGTAAAGTCATGGAATACTACAAGCCACCAAAAGGACAAATATGGGACTGGAAGACAAGTCTGAGGACTGAGCATTGACCCAGTCCACAAGCCAGGGACACCAAGAGCAGTCAGTCATGTCGAATGAATGAGAGAGGGCTCTCAGTGGGGCAGATGGAAAGCCAGGAACCTGTGACTCTCTAGAAGCCAGGTGTTTCAAGGAAGGTGGAGGGTTCCACCAAGTGCAATGCATGTTAAAGGAAGATGAGAACTGAGAGTCGACTTTGGGATTAGAGAACTAATGGGAATAATTTCGTAGAGTGCTAGGTTCCAAACATACCAGCAAGTGCACATCCAAGCCCAGAGAAGAATTGCAACATGCCTGAGCTCACACAGTAAGTTAGCAGCATAGGTCAGGGTCAGATACTGGCCCCCAATTTATAGTTTTCTCATCGCCACAAAGAAAATAAGTCACCATTAAGAAGTCCAGAGTCGACCAGACATGGTGGCTCATGCCTGTAATCCCAGCACATTGGGAGGCTGAGGCGGGTGGATCAAAAAAATACAAAAATTCGCCGAGCATGGTGGTGCTTGCCTGTAATCCCAGCTGCTGGAGATGCCGAGGTATGAGAATCTCTTGAACCCGGGAGGCAGAGGTTTCAGTGAGCCAAGATCCTCCAGCCTGAACAACAGAGCAAGAAACTTGTCTCAAACAACAACGACAACAAAAAGACGCCCAGAGTATAAGAATATAAAGCAAATCCAAGTCATAGTTGACTCTGCGACCAGCCGAAACAAATTATCTTTACTCTTTTTCTGGCAATACTAGCAGTCATGCCAGTCAAGGAAAAATACTGGAATTGATATCGTGCTTATCATCGAATGTCGACATGAATAGCAGTGCCCACAGAATCCCGTTCTATGAGCTAAATATGGGTTTGTAAATGGGAATTAGGTAATAGGAAGTGAGTTTTTATCATGGTCAGACTGCAAGTCCAAATATTAGATGAACACATTTCCTCCTCCGTAAATGCTGATCACATACCAGCTGCTAAATGCAATTTGTCTGCTGACATATGGTGGGAAATTCTCATGCTCATTAACAGAGAGCATATCATCATCATTATCATCATTGATTTCCAGTGACCGTGGCTCATTAAGGTTCTCCTGGGAATCTTGAACTGTAGTCCCACAGTCAAGGTGCCTGATGAACGGTTTATCTCCCCATCACCCATCCCCGTGAGTGCCCATCTGCAGTGGCATCTGCCCCATGGGCTGAGGGAAAACAAGTCAAGGATTAGATCTGCTTCTGCATAAAGTGTGGATCTTCCTGAGATGGCCTCTGCTGTGCTGAATAACATGAAAAAGATGCTTGTAGAACAAACACGTTTTTCAGGAGGTGAGGAATTCCAAGAGTGAATCCCAAGAGCACTAAGCTTCCAGAGGATGAGATTCAGCAGATGGTCTGACAGATATCACCAATGACAGTATCCAGTGGGAAAGTGTCTGACACCAAGGTCATTCAGAGACTCCCTCACCCTCTGCCCTGGAGTGCCTCACATCTGGGAAGAAACCTATTTGCCCAAAAAGCAGCACACACCCATAGATTATCTGTCACTCAAGCAGAGACCCAGAATTAGGGTGCATATTCAGGAAGGAGCTTACTTTCGGAGTAGACATATATCCTGAAAGGAGCATGTAACAAGGGCATACCTTATATTCAAAAACAGCACATCCAAAGCTTATTATTGGGCTTAATTATCCCAGTAATAGCTTAGGCCAAGGGATATATCGTGCTCGAGAAGTAGCAAGTGTCTAGGGAGTATTTATGCTTATGAGCCTGGAAGTGAACTCTCCCAGTGAATTTTTAATACTCTGGAAATAGCATACTAAATTATACATGCACATGTCCGGCAATGGAAGTGTACTAGAATGTCTCACAACCTGAAAACCACACAAAGATTCATTAGGCATAAAATGGACAGATAAGCGGTGGCATTTTCTCACAGTGAAATAAAACAGCAATGCAAATGAGTGAAATGCAAATATATGCAACATTACAGATGCCTTTTGCAAAAGTCATGTTGAGTAGCAGAAACCAACACAAAAGGCTATATGCTGTGTGGTTCCATTTGTATGAGTTCTAAAATAACCAAAACTAACCTATGTTTTTATATATCAAATTAGTAGTTACTTGCAGAGGGGGTTAGTGAATGAAAAGGGGTACAAGGGGGTTTCAGAGGTGCGTTGATTTCTTTTCTTTCTTTCGGTGCTAATGGAATCAAAGTATCTCCTTGTTGAAAATTAAGCATGTCATACACTTACTTTATGTGTATTCTTCTGTATTTATATTATACATGAGTTTAAAACTAAAAGGGTAAAATAAACCTTCAAGGAAACCACACACACACACACACACACACACACACACACACACATACATCACAAACAGCAACAAAGTTAGCCCATGCTCAGGGAGCATCTTCTGTTGAAGGAGTAGCAAACTTCTAGGAAATATGATTATTTACACGCTCAGAAATAAACTATTTTCAATGTTTTATGTACACATATATACACATGTACATATGTAAATATATGTGTGTATATATATAAATATATATATATATATATATATATATTTTCTCCTGATGAGTAGCTTGGACATTGGGAAGACACCTATGTGACCAGGAAGTAGATTATCTCTAGAGGACACCTAATACTGGAGAAATAGCACCTGTCAGGAAGTATTTTATGCTGATGCTACCAGGTTGAAATGTATACATGGGGAATAATTTATACTCAGGCATAATCCAAGGAGTGTCTTACACATTCAGACCCAGGACAGCATATAGCCATGGAGTATTCTATGACAGCAAAGTAGCTTGGCATGCCCAGGAGGAAGCACAAACCTCAAAGAATTTGATTCTCAAGAGTGGTTTATAACTGGGAGCAGCTTCCTGCCCCATAGAGGCCAAGCTCACTGCTTGCAGTAGTCAGCTTCCTGGTAGCAAATCCCTCATCCCCATATGCACGCTTCTTTGCCATGTGACTTTGATGTTGCTCCATCCAGCGGTGGAGTCTATTCCCTAAGTCTTTAGTCTGAACTGTCCTCTGAGTTGCAACAGAGGTGATATTGTGCAACTTCCAGAGTCTTGGCCTCAAGACCTTGCCGTTTCCACCTTCATCCTGTTAGGACACAGCCCCAAGAATAAGAAAGAACAAGAACAAGAACAAGAATTAAGAACAAAAACACCATGCATGGAAGCGGGTCCAGCCCACTAGAAGATGAGTGGCTGCATGAAGGAGGCTTGGGGTAGCCCTACCAACAGCGCTAAAAGTTTGACACCTGAGAAAGAAGGTCTTGGATATCCCAGATTGCCAACCCTCCACTATCTGCTTGAGTGGCGTGTCTGCACCCAGTACAAGAATGACCCATCCAACCTAAGTACTTGAATCTGCCACTCTTTAAAGAATTGTTGTAAGTCACAACATTTTGCGTAGCCTTTTTAGCAAAATGTAAACTGAAGCACTCCTGATCAGATTAATGGATCATGTAAATGGATTATGTAGCCAGTGGGAAGAGCTACTTACGGTTTCCTTTAAAGTTGGAGAAGTGGCCTTTAAAATTAGGTCTTGAAAAAGATATTAACCATTGACCTTGTATGGCTGCAGGGATGCTCTATTCTCATCATGCCCCTGCAGCCCGAGACGTGGTGACGGCCTCCCACTATTATTGGGTTCTGAGTGTCTCGCCAGCTCTCGGGTGTTCCTTTAGTTCTACCTGCGTCTCTCTAAGTCTTGCCCATTTCAATGTCTCTTTATTTCAACCACCCAAGGAGGGTTGTGTCCAGCTTGGATTGTGGCTGGAATTTCCAACTCTTTCCATTTACAATTCGACCCACAAGAGTCTCTGTAGTATCAAAACCCTTCCAGGATGTGGGATGTATAATATCACAATATCTGGAAGCCAGTATGTGTATAAATATATGAATGACTGTATTTATACTACATATATACTGTGTGTGTGTATATATATGTATATATAAATAAAACATGCATATATAGTATAAATACTATATTATATATACAGTATGGTATAATAGTATATATACACATGCTGTATGTATATATATATACTATCAGTGTGTGCATATATATACTATACCATATATCTACATAGTGCTACATATACATTATTATACTAAATATATATATATTTAGTAAACCAAACAGGATTTCTGCTCTAACAGCAATAAAGACAATTTTTCCCCCCAGATGGCACAGGCTTCTGTTTAGTGCTAGTTAACATTTGAATTAATAATTAGCAAAACATGAATAATCATTTCATTCATGAGGACAGAGTCTTGTCCCATGATCACAATGTCAGGCTGTGTATCGCCACCTCATTAACTCCAGGGCGACCAGCCCGCACCTCAGAAAGCAAGATGCATCCGTCAAGAGTCGCACCTCCATGGAAGGCGTGTTGCTAATGTGAAATGTGCAGATCGTGGGGCTCCATTAATCACTAGGTCAGAGTCATGGCACAGCAGGTTCAATGCCCCACAGCTATTCCTCAGTCACAGTCTAAGGAGCTCTGCACGTGAGGGAGCGCAACGGCAATGACAGAGCATTGTTGCCTGCTTCCCTCAACACTGCCTACCGCAGTGCTTCATCTCTGCACGTGGCCCTCAATCCTGCTCTGGGCTGAGGCCTCTTTGTGAAAAATGAACAGCAAAGGTTTCTCACCTCCTGGAGAAGAGGAGAGTGAGATATTCTTAAGGCCTATGTGAGGATGCAGAGTGTGGGCTCCTTCCCTGCATCACGCTGTCCTCGACGACCAATAAAAAAGGTGCTATGGCTCTCAGGGCAAAGAGGTGCAAAGTTCTAATGAAAGATTTGAGAAGAAAAAAATGTCTCCAAGCCGTGGTTCTTAATCTGGTGCAATGTTGTCCCCCCAGGGGGCATTTGACAATTTCAGAGGTATTTTTCTTTGTCCCAGCTGGTGGCAGGACATCTAGTGGGTTGAAGCCAGCATGATGAAACATGCTACATTGCACAGAGCAGCCCCACAGCAAAGAATCATCCACTCCATATGTCAATAGTGCTGAGCTGAAAAACCGTCTCTGAAGAAGAATAGAGAAACCAGGGAAGAGCCACTTAATTGGGAGCATCACACCTGTCCAGTCCCCACCATGGACTCTCCTGGGACTCCAGCAAGTGCTGTGAATCTCTCCCCTAGAATCCACCACCATCATCCCATTCATTGACTTGGTGGGCCTACTCATATTCCTAAACAGGACATTTGTACTTTTACTCTCCTGCTCAATGTCACAATGACCCTCACCCCTGCTGTCTGAAGGGCTCAAGCATGGAGTAAAACATCTCCTGTTGCCTCAAAGCTCCCAGCTTTGTTTCTTGTTGCTTCCCTGCAATAGTCATTGGTTTGTGGCTTGTACTGTTATCTGACCATGCTCACTCAAGACTCAGTGCCATGCTCATGCTCTTCTTCTGCCAAGATTAGAGCCTTTCCTGTCCTATGACTGTCTGTCATAGTCCTGCTTAGTCCTTGACTTCTGCATGAGGCCTTTTCTGACTACTTCAACCCATGATCAATCCACTTCTCTCTCTCCTCATTCCTATTAAGTCATGCATGCCACAACCAAGCTGAAGTCCAGGATTTGTAAGTCTAATGCCTCCTGGGTGAGCTGTACGCCCACAGCAATGGGGATGAGAACATAGGAAGTTGAAGAGGTGAGGCCACATTGAGGAATGAGGGCCTGTGATATCTACTGTTTTATGATGACTAGTGGTGACACACAGTGGGCCACTGGCCAGGGTACTTGGCGCCAATGCCTTCTGCAGACTGGCTTCAAGGGGAAATCCTGTCACAAGGAGTAAGTCATGGGGGAAAATAAGGTGGCTTTTTTCTATTGGCTATTCCCCATTGGTTGAGTTTACACATAAGGTGTCACCCCTGCACAGTTTCTGGTTGCAACAACCCACTTCTTTTTATGCTTCTGAGGATGCCTGATTATACTCCAGACTCTCCAGGTGGTGTGGAGTTGTATCCAAGTTCAGTAATGTCAGCAAGCCCCTGGCGATGTGGCTGGTTGGTCTGCATGTGCAGTGACAGCTCAGGGCAATGACCATATTGGCTTTTAGGAGCCACTGTCCAGAAAGCACATGATTGCCCCAGTGATCTGAAGGCATCCACAAATTTGTACCAGATGCTGTAGATATGTGGGGGAAACATGTTCCCCTCTACGTGGGGTTAATCTTAATAAGGAGGTGCTCCGGCTCACCACACTCATAAAATGTACTTAACCTGTGCAAAACCCTAGGAGTTGGCAATATGACTTTCCCCATTTTATTGGCGAGATTACAGGGACTCAGACATAGGGTTTTTACATGGTGAGTCAGGTAACCTCTGCTCAAACAAGGATTTAGACTAAGGTGTTTCTGGCTCCTGAGCCCTCCCTCCTAACTGTCTCTCATGCATGCATCTTTGTGCTGTTCTGCTTTAGTAGTTTAGGATGGATTCATCAGAATGGAATTACTGAGTTTTTGTGCCTGTGTACATAACATTTTTTTTTTTTGAGACAGAGTCACCATGCTGGAGTGCAGTGGCATGATCTCAGCTCAAACTGCAACCTTCGTCTCCCAGGTTCAAGAGATTCTCCTGCCTCAGTCTCCAAGTAGCTGGAATTATAGGCGCACGCCACCACACCCTACTACTAAATATTTTTGTATTTTTAGTAGAGACGGGGTTTCACCATGTTGGCCAGGATGGTCTTGATCACTTGACCTTGTGATCTCCCCACCTCGGCCTCCCATAGTGCTGGAATTACAGGTATGAACCACCACGCCCAGCCACATAACAGTTTTATAGGTACCACTGCACACACTGATATGACAATTTACATCATCTAACAATGTTTTATTTGCTTTCTGTATGTGTGTGTGCACATGTGTGTGTGTGTTTTCTTGTTTGTTTTATATGACAATGAATTTTCTTTGCTCTAGCAGATGTCTCCTCTCTGGGACATAAGGTGAAGGTCCAGGGGACGGGTGAGGCCGTCCTAACCCAGGTGGTGATGCGTGTGCTCCAGTAGGGCAGGGTCCCCGTCTGACACACTCTCCCCTCCTTCCTTTGCATTTATCCAGTTCCTGGCACACAGATAAAATTCAATAAATATTTTCAGAATAAAACAGCTGATTCTAACAGATAATCTTGGGGGTGACTTCTGTGGGCAAAATGCTTTTTTTTTCCTGGAAGTATTTCCAGAAAAATCCTATGCAGCAAGCCAAAACCCCTCCTTTGGAACTGCATAAGTCAGTCCAGTGGGGCACGATTCTTATAAAGGGATGGCTTCATATTGATCATTCTGAACGTTACAGGGAAGTGACTTTAACTAGAAAGTTGCACATGACCGTGAAGCCTAAATGAGGATGTCAAATCTAGGGAAATAATCTAATTGCAATACAGCATCCGAATCTTTTGGAGACATCAAATTATTGCCCAAGTCCTCTCAAAGCTCTTACAAATATAACTTCATACTTTTGGAAAAAGTCAAACAGAATTAAATGTAGACAAATCGTTAGTTATATATTTGAAAACTCTATTCCTACTATGAAATTAGTAACTTGTTAAGAAGACCAGAGTAGCTGTTAAGTAAAGGAGCCGGCTAGCAATCATTTAATAAGATGATTAAACTCTACTTCTTTGTCACACTTGCTTCTGGGCAAATGGAGTAGACGGGTATGAAATAACAAGACTAGAATCTTTTAGTTGAATATTCCAGATATCAATGAAAAAAATTAATTTAAAACCAACTTACAATGTAGATCAAGTGGATTTGCATACCAATCCAAGGAAAAAACCCTAGTTGTAAATGGCATGCTTAACCATAGGTAAAGAAATGCACAATTAGAAAAGTAATTCAGGGTGAAAAAAATCCGATTTCTGTATCAATGCGCAGATATGGATAAATGACAAAGTTTCCTTCAAAACAGAGCCTTATTTTCGCTCATTGTTCTGTGCAGTTTTCAGAGAAGGAGAGGCAGATTCCCTGATATTCTTCTGGAACCACTCACCTAGCAGAGAAAATTGTTTGCCGGAGTAATGTTCATCAGCTGCTACTCTTCGAAGAGCCAGTGTTGATGCTGCAGCTGCCACAGAAAACCAGGCAGATGTGGTCTCAGCCCTCAGGGCTTCATACTCTGCATAAGATGCAGAAGTAAATAGGAAGTCATTAAAATGAGCAAAAAACAATACGATGGCAAGAGCAAAGTGTGTAGCAAGACAGGGAAGCACCATTAGCTCTGAATCATGTACTCTGCCCCACTATTGACGGGCATCAGAACCTCAGGCAGGTGTCTTCACTTCTCCATGACTCAGTTTCTCCACCATAAAATGAGAGGCACCATATTTTCTACCTCATAGGAGGGGTGTGAAATTTAAGTGAATCAATTATTTGAAATGTGCTTAAAATAGCAGCAAAGATAATCTATTGTATTAGTCAGGGAATCTAAACCTTAGTATTCACAACGTCAAGATGACAATGGCTCGATACGATAAAACTTGTTTTGGTTTGTTTGTGTCTCATTCACCCATTAGTCCACTGTTACTATTCCTAGTCTGAGGGTTTTGGGAGGTGCTGCTTTCTTCCTGGTTCTGGGGAGGTAAGAAAGCTCCTTCCACCCACCAGCCATAGATAAGAGAAGAGGGCAAGGAGGCAGTAAAGCATGGGGTGGGGGGTGGCCCCATGGAAAGTTTTAGGACCCAAGCCTAGAAATAGCAGGCATCACTCACACCATTGTCCACTGGCTAGAACGCAGTCACATGACAACACCTAGCCACAAAGGAGGCTGGGAAATGAAGTCCACCTGTGTGCACAGAAGAAAGAAATGGGTTTGTGAACATACAGCATCCCTGCAAAGGCTCTCCACAGATAAGAGCTATTGATGCTTTATATCGAATATCACATCCATTGTTATTGTTATAGGACATATGTATCACATAAGTACACATGAATATATATATACTCATATATGTATATACTCATATATATAACCATATATATATTCACAGGCCTATATATATCTGAAATACACACACACACGTATATATTACATATTATATACACACACACACACACACACACACACAACTGACCATTGAACTACATGGGTCTGAACTCATGGGTTCTCTCAGACCGTGGATTTTATTCTGTCTCTGCAACCCCTGAACAGTAAGACCAACTCCTCCTCTTCCTCCTCCCCCTCAGTCTACTCAATATGAAGTCGATAAAGATGAAGACCTTTCTGATGATCCACTTCCACTTACTGTATAGAAAACATATTTTCAGCTGGGTGCGAAGGCTCACACCTGTAATCCCAGCACTTTGGGAGGTGGGCGGATCACGAGGTCAGGAGATCAAGACCATCCTAGCCAACAAGGTGAAACCCCGTCTCTACTAAAAATACAAAAATTAGCTGGGCGTGGTGGTGCATGCCTGTAGTCCCAGCTACTCGGGAGGCTGAGGCAGGAGAATCACTCAACCAGGGAGTAGGAGGCTGTAGTGAGCTGAGATCGCGCCACTGCACTCCAGTCTGGGTGACAAGAGTGAGACTTCATATAAAAAAAAAGAAAAGAAAAGAAAAGGAAACATATTTTCTCCTTCTTACGATTTTCTTAATAACTCTTTCTTTTCTCTAGATTACTTTAAGAATACAATTTATCAAAGCCAGGCACAGTAGCTCATGCCTGTAATCCCAGCAGTTTGGGAGGCTGAGGCAGGCAGATCACTTGAGGCCAGGAGTTCAAAAGCAGCTGAGCCAACATGGTGAAACCCTCTACTAAACATACAAATATTAGCCAGCGGGGATGGTGCATGCTTGTAATCTCAGCTACTCAGGAGACTGAGGTGGAAGAATTGTGTGAACCCAGGAGATGGAGGTTGCAGTGAGCTAAGATCGTGCCACTGCACTCCAGCCTGGGCAACAGAGCAAGACCCTGTCTCAAAAAATGTATATATACATATATCATACATATAGCATACAAAGTATGTGTTAACAGACTTTTGATGTTATCCTTAAGGCTTCTGGTGAATAGTAGGCTATCAGTAGTTAAGTCTAGGGGGAGCCCAAAGTTTTATAAGAATTTTGGACTGGGTAGGGGTCAGTCCCCTAACCTTCACTTTGGTCAAGGGTCAACTATGTGTGTGTGTTGACACACACACACACACACACACACACACATCACATGACTCAAGCATGGATAGCAGGAAGGGTTTCCAAGACAGATGGATTTGTCTAAGAGGAGACATGATTAATGAAAAGGCCTTAGGAGTGGGGGTGTGGGGAGCATGCCTTCTTGTTAAAGGGACGTCTGTGAGAAGACCCAGAAGAAATAGGAAAAAGTCACTTGTGGGAGGGACTGAGAAAACTTCAGTCTGGCTGGAAAGAAAAGTCAGGGAGCAAGAAGGAGATAATAGAGACAGATCATGAAAATATTTTACCTTAAACTCTTGGAGATGGGTGAGGTGGCTGCAGGGAGGATGCGGGGAGATACATGACTAGATTGAGCTCTAAGTTGCCCTGCATGGCTCCTGGTGGAGAGTGGGGCGGTGGTGGTGGGCCAGAACTCAGCAGCCCAGCTCCAACACCAGTGCCCTTGATGACGTGGCAGGAGGAGGGTTTGTGAGCAGAAGGGAGACCTGGGGAAGCCCCAGGGAACCCAGTGATCTGTGTCCTGTGGGGAGGATGAGAGTTGAGACCACAGATACGTGACCTGGACCTCAAAAGGAAACCAGGGCAGTAGGGTCCCAAAGCCACAGGAAGTCAGGCTTCCAGGGGAGGAGCGGTGGCCGGCAGGGATGCTGCTGAGGAACCAGGTGAGATGCATATTGGACTTGGGGACCCGGTAGTCCTTGGCTGCCTGTTAACACCAGCTGGCCTTAGAGACTGATGGGGCCAGAGAATGTGGTAGAGGAGGAATGAGAGGGGTGAGGATGTGAAGGGGCAAGTACAGAGGTTCTTTTTTGAGCCTGGGATATTAGTGGGGAGGTAGGGCACTGGCTTCAGGGGGAAAGTCCTAAATTGGGGCTGGATCTCCTGCAGGCAGGACCCAGAGAGGTTGGCGCCGTCCATGCGGGGAGCCCCATCCTTGGTCCTTGGCCCTGACTGCTGAGATGGAAATCTATGTGACTGATTCCACAGGTCTGACTGCTCCCACCCAGCAGGGTCATGCCAGTAGACTGAGGTTCCTCTGTGATGCTTGCCTCCCAGAGCTCAGAGTGGAGTATGGCTTAGGTCTCAGGACCAGCAGCACCCTCAGCACTGGGCTAAGGACACACTGTTTAGACAGATCTGGACAGATCACAGTGAACATTAAGGAACTATTTTCCTGGCATCTGGTCTTCCCTGGATTCTTAGTGGCTCGTTTGTTCTCTGTGATTTTTATCAGTCAGAGAAGTAAGAGGAAAACATAAACGAAAGGAAAAAGGAATCAGCCCATAAGGGAATGGGCTAGGTTTCAGCAACTCACTTGGGAGATGGCTGGCTCACCATTCCCCAACTCCCACCTCATTCTCTCTGCTCCTGCATCCACTTTAATGCATAATTTATGGATGCGATTAACAGAAACCAATCAAGCAAGGTATGCATTCAGTGCTGTGTTTAACAACAGATGTTTCCAGAGGTGATTATGTTAGAACAATAATACACACACACGCGCGCGCGCGCACACACACACACACACACACAGTGCCTGATCATCAGTACTGTGTTATGAGTGGTAACAAGACTGATGGCTTCACCAATAAAACTTCCAGAGCAGGAGACTTGGAGAAATGAGCTTAGTGGCTACTGTTGGTGCCAATTATCTTCTTACTGTAGAATAAGTCTTTCTCATGCTTTGTGCCTCAGTTTTTGTTTTTTACTCCCAAGAAGCTGACATCTTAGGAAATTGTTCTGGGAGAAGAGAGGCATTTTTCAGGCCATTGTAAGAGGCTTCAGGTTCCACTCGGCTCTAGGACGGGGATTCACCCCCCCTGGCTGAATTCCAGCTGCTCAGACATTACAGTGCAGCTCAGTGAGCTGCTGTGTTCTTCCAATCCTCCTACAGAGTCGCAGGGTTATTCCCGGGTAAGAAAGGTGGGTCCGAGTCCTCCCACACCACAGCATCTGCAATAGGATTCTGTGCATATGTCTACGTCACCCAGCCCTTTGGCTTCCTCATCAATAAGAGCAACTCTTGCTAGAGACCGTTGTGAAAGGTACAGGGATTCACGCAGATGAGGCATTAGGCAGAGCACCCAGCCTGAAGCAAAGTCAGCTGTGTCACTGTCATCATTTTTGGGAAGCTTCTTATAACCACTCCCTGAGTTCCCACTAGCAAGGGGAGGCAAGACCCCAACATTTTCATCCGTGATTAAACTGGCTGGAGACAGCAAGTAGAGTTCCAGCTCAGACCTCAAATTCACAAAAGACCCCAGAAGGGGGTGCTTCTGGTCCTGCACCACATTTACACTTTTGATGTTGTCTCCGAGGGAGCCTACAAGTCCACTAACAGTCATGCAGGGGCCCGGCATGGTGGCTCACATCTGTAATCCCAGCACTTTGGGAGGCTGAGGCAGGCAGTGGATGACCTAAGCCCAAGAGTTCGAGACCAGCCTGGGCAACATAGCGAGATCCCATCTCTACAAAAAAAAAAAAAAATTACAAAAACTAGCCGGGTGTGATGGTTCAGGCCTGTGGTCCCAGCTACTTGGGAGGGTGAGGTGGGAGGATCTCTTGAGCCCGGGAGGTTGAGGCTACACTGGGCAGATATCCCATCACTGCACCCCAGCCTGGGTGACAAACTGAGACCCTGTTTCAAAACAAAACAAGGGTCATGCAGAAAAGGCTGCTCAAAAACACCTTCCCGGCCACTCTACATGTGACCATCACAGGATCGAATCTCCCGTTGAAATTAGTATTCTCAACTCATCTCAACATCGGAACGTTTGCAGTTTAAAAGCATTCATTTGTTCATTGTGAGCAGCTAATACATACCACATATTTTGACATCTGATTTTGGCAATTCTTTACTTATTTGAAGGGGACCCTGAATAGAAATACAGAACAATAACCTAACGAAAACACTATTTCTGATGGCTGGTCCTCTCGTTACCACCAGGAAGCTCTGCCAGGACACTCCACTGCCGGGAGGGGTGCCTAGGAACGAAGAGCAGAGGGGCCAGTGAGGTCCTGCCACGCCCTGCTGAGTTCTACGTGCTTGCGCGCTTCTTCCTCGGGAGAGCTTCCACTGATTTAATTGGATATGGGGATGGAGAGAGGAAACAGAAACAGGGAAAGAAGTGAAAAAGGGAAGGACGGGGCGCGCGCGGCAGGGGGGCAGGCGGCCTGGTGCAGGTGCATCCCCAGGTGCGCGCCACGCCCCTGCGGGACCCGGCGGCACCGCGGTGCGTTCCCAGCCGCCGGCGCTAGAGGGCGTGTCTGCGGAAAGACTCGCTGCGCTGGCCCAGGCTCCACGAGGGGCCGACAGGGGGCGCTCTGCACAGGGACCGGAGGGAGCGGGAGCCGAACTTGCGTGAGAGGCGCGGGGCCACCCGTGCAGGTGTAGGTGGAGCCACTCTGCCAACCCCTGGGCACTGGGCAGGGCTGGAGGGAGGATTGCCCTGTGCACAGGTGGAAGACATTTCACCTCTTACAAATCCTGAGGGCGCTTTTGCTTGTTTAAGGGAGTTTGGGAGACAGTGTTGCAAAGGGTCCAGTAATAGTTGCAGAATCATTTCTCAGGATGTCTTAGAGTCAGGAATCCCTGAATTTGAATCTCAGCTCTGCCCTTCACTGTGCAATTGTGGACAAGGGAATTCACGGTCTGAACCTCAGTTCCCTCCACCCCTAAAATGGGGATAATGAGCGCGCCTAAGTCACAGGGTTGGAGTGAGGATTAAATGAGATTCTGCACCTGCAGGTAGCACACAGAGCAAGGTATCTGCTACATGATAAATCCTCAACTTTTAGCTGCCTACTCATTATTATTAATATTACTATATTTTTATGACTATGACTATATGATTACTATTACTACTTTTACTATATTATTGTGTTGATACATCAGGCTGTTTGGCCATTCTAGATGCTTAGCTGAAAAGAAAAGCTTTTTCTACTTAGAAGAGCAGTTCCCAAACTTTTTGGTCTCACAGCCCCTTTACATTCTTGAAAGTTATTCAATAATCCAAAGTGCTTTTATTTATGTGGAATTTACACCCCGTGCCACTGAATTTAAGCCCATTCAAGTCCATGTGGTTAAAATGTTTTTTTGTGAACAGAATATTTAGATAAACATTCAAGATTCCTGGCTGTTTTTCTGTTTCCTACATGAAAGAAAAAGAAAAGCCAACTTTCTCATAGGATATTCTCAGAAGGCTGTGGGGCCCCAAGAGCCCTGGGCTGGAAGGCAGGAGGCCTAGGCTCAGATTCTGACTCTGTCCTTGTCTCACTGTGTGGCCTTAAGCAAGGTGCTTGCCTCTCTGAGTCTTGGGTGTGCCATGTTCTGAGGCACATCCAGCTGTGAAAAGGCAGGTGTCTGGTTCTTTGTCATCTATTAGAAGAGTGTCATTCACACTGATGCATGGATCTGAAGGAAGGAGACCCCCACACACACATGACTTGCCAACCCAAAATCACCCCCAAAGGAGGATATGAATTCACGAAGTCCAGGTTTGACTCTAGGCTCAGCCATTACCACATGCATGACCTTGGGAAAGTCAGTCCTCATTCCTGCCCCAGGGTTCAGCTTAACTTGACAGGTAGTGGGGCGATATGATGACCTTCAAACTTGTACCTTCAGCTGGAATTTCAGACTGAACACTGTGGGGTTAGAGGTGACCAGAGGCATCTGTCAGCTGGACCTTGAGTCGAGGCCTTTTCTGGTCACCAGGGGTTGTGCTCTGACACTTAAGTTTTGTGGGGGAGACTGCACCGTATTGTTTGTTTCCAGGCTATAGTTAGCAGGAATATGCCTCCTTCCTTCCCTGGGACCCCTTCTAGGCTGAGCAAGGCCACAGTACCTCCTGGAAGGGCACTTGGTAACCTGTGACTTAGTCCACATCCTAACTCGACCACTCTTGAGCTGTGTGATGTTGATCTAACAGCCAAACCTCTCAGCCTGTCTTTCCTCAACTGCGAAATGAGGATGTTAAGTCTTCAAATTAAAGTGAGGAACATCATTCATGAAACGTCCACCACACTCCCTTGCTGTGCCAGTGCTTGAGGGGAAATATCTCACTGAGGCTTCTCAATAGTATTTATGAGTGAGGTGCTTTGATTTGTTCTATTTTACAGATGCAGAAACTGGGGCGCCGAGAGGTTAAATCACTCATCTGGAGACACACAGCCAGGGAGGATAGTAAGCAGCCAGGATCCAAGCCCACATCCATAGGACCTGAGGCTACAGTGTACCATCCCTCACCTGCTCCCCACTGTGCTTCATAACACCAGGTGCAGAGGACAGTGGGGCCAGAGGCGGTGGTGGATAAGAAGTGACTAGGATGAGGATGTGAAAAGGGCAAATATTCACTTGCCTCTCTTGTGACATATTCACATACCATAGAAAGCTATTTCTCCATCTCTAGCTCCTCAGAGAACTTTCTGTGGAATTGTAATGCATGTCCTTGAAAAAGTGCAGGCAGCTGAAATGCATGACAGTTGAAGCACTTGGATCTCATTGTCAGACTGCGCATTTTCTAACCGTGAAGGGCTTTCTCGGTTTAGAGACTATTAGTTCAAACTCTAAGTAGTCCATTTATTTTGCTCAGAAAACTGTAATGCATTTCCTAAATTTCCTCTTCTGAGGTTTAAAAATAACCTACCTTAGCAGCAGACATCAATTCCTTTAAATCAGTTCCTGCTTGATCATCCAGGTTGTCTCTTTTCCGGATTCACTTTACGTATCCTAGTCCAAGTCACCCCTCTCTGCCCCCCACAGTGTTACTATCAAGAAGGGGGCCAGGCGAGGGTGTCAGACTTCCCTGGCTGTAGACAGGGATCAGATCTGTCATTCTCTGTCATGTGTGACTTGGCCTATGCTTGTGGATGTGGCTTTACTAGGTTCATTGAGATTGTTTATTTCTTCTTTTAATTTTTGAGCTTATTATGAATGGTTTTAGACTTTCCTGAATATCTACATTTTTATCCAGTCTGTTAACATTTTCTGATATTCTTCACTCTTTTGAGATAATTTTAAGGAATTTTTGTCTTTGTCCTGATGAACCTGTAGGATAGAACTTTTGCTATTTTCTAGTGACTATGTTGCTTTTTGAATATCAGCCTTAAACACACATTGACCCATAAACACACCTTGAATCCAATCAGTGGGTTTCTCTCTTTCTAGTTATTTTTTGAGTAGCTCTATCTTTAGGAAGAAAATAAAAGAAAAGAAAAAGCAAGGAGGGAAGAAACGAAGGAAGAAAGGAAGAAAAGAAGGAAGGAAGGAAGGAAAGAAGGAAGGAAGGAAGGAAAGAAGGAAGGAAGGAAGGAAAGAGAAAGAGAAAGAAAAGAAATAAGCCAACAAATTCTTATAGTTTGCTGCCAAATTCAGTGTTTCTAAGGTTTTGAAGACCTGGGGTGACTTCAGGTTTTTTTAGACTTTTTAAATCAATTCGTAATTTTCACGGATTTTGTTATTCTTCAATTTGGGAAGAACAAAAACCTTTTGATGACTTCATTTCCCCTCTTCACATCCTGCTTGCTTATTATGAAAACAAACAACGCAATACCATCATCTCCCCATGAAACCCAGCATGACCTGGGCCTTGCTTAAATCTTCAGGCACCACCACAGACTTGGTCATCTCCAGAAGGAGCTGAAGTGAAGAAGCCGGCAGCCAGCAGTCCCTCCATGGGGCCAAAGGCTCTTGCAGCTCCACCCCGGTTGCCAGTGCCCTGCTCAGGCAGAACACTTGGTGTGGAATCCTGTGTGTTTTTCTATTTCAAACACAAACAGGTGCCTGGCAACCGTCAGGGAGACTGGGAGAGGAGAGACCTATCCCTTCCATGGCCAAGGCACATGCAGAAATGAAAATATTTTAATGGCACTCAGGAAAATGGATGAGACTCTGAAGCTGGAAGCAACCACGCTTTAGGATTTAGCCACCCAAGGCTCAAGTGGCCTAACAAGAAAACGGCACCCAAAGTTAAGCCATGGCTGCTGCCTACCCTGTGTATGTGTTATCGGCCAAAGGGGATCACTGCCCAGTGCACTAGAGGCCAATACCAAGACACTGTTTTTTTTGAGAAAATATAAAAGCTTTTTATTGTACATCAACCAACAAGGAGACAGAAGTACAGCTCAAATCTGTCTTCCTGTGCTGGCTTTAAGGCAGTAATTTTATTAGAAAAGGTTTAGGGGTGGATTCTGGGGTTAGTAGGTAATTGGTAGAAGGAAAAGGGAGGTCTGGAAAGTCCTCAGCCTCACACAGTTATCTCTTCATACCTCCTCATGGGTCTCATGTGCAAATTTGGGGGTAGTTAGTATGAAACTTGTGTTGAAATTCAGGCTGTGACATCAGCAAGCTTGTTCTGTGCAGACTTTATTTGGCCACATTGGTTCCAACCAATTTCAGCCAGTTCTTTTTATCTCATAAGCAGAGGGAGTTTCAACATCTCCACACGTTGTTTCTTTTTTGTCTGTCATCTTATAAACTCAAGAATTGCAGTGAGTTACTAGTTTCTTTAACTCTGGGGCATGACATCACGTGGACTGTGCCAAGGCTTCTTGGGCAGGATGCTCTGTAGCTGAGATCACCCATGGCCACATCCTGGTCTCATTCTTCTTTCTCTCTTCAATTAAAATTGTTTTCCTGTAGCCCCAAGAGCCTACAAAGTTCACAGGAATCTTATGAGAACATGCCCCATTGTCTCATAGGACCAAGCCTTTGTCTGAGTAATGTACATGCTTGTTTGTGTATCTTTTGCCTCGTATTACAAAGTTTGTTCTTGAATTGCATGTGAGCCCCATGTAACCCTGTGAAACAGGAAGTGTTGGCCTCATTGGATCCAATTTTCAGAGGAGGCCCAAAGAATTTAACTGACTTACCAGAGGGCATCTAGCATGTCACCAAAGGAGCAAAGGTAGAAGGTGGCTCCTGAGCCCTCAGATTCAATGCTCACTTATTTCAATGCCTCATGTCACTCTGAAGCCATGAGGTAAACTGAGAAAGTGCAGCCTCTGGGCTCCCTGCATGGGCAGCACTAGTCTATGAGCATTCTGTAGCACAGGTGCAGCCATGACGAAGACGAATAGGGCAGGCGTGTGCTGCCCACAACACGGAGGAACAGAAGCCCTGCACTTCTTCAAAGAATCCTCATTTACTCACAGTCATTCAGCAAAGCAGCTCTCTTTGCTCCTCATAGGCAAAAATGTTTCTCCATTACAGTTTTATGGTTCATACATGGAAAGTATAAACCACAAAGAGGAAGGATAAATCAGGGCTGAGGGAGACAGAGATTCCAATTACCATTATTGATTTTTCACTGTATAGAAATATGGAGGGATTTAGTGTCCATATCTTCAGTTACTATGTCTCAAACCACTGCATCTGAAAAAAAAAAACACCAAAATGTGACATTCTGAATATTATCGCCATCCCAGAGATGAAACTTAGATCCCGTAACAGTTTGGTATAAAACACAAGCAGAATGCTATAGCCACAGCTCACCTCCTCATAACATATGTTACTCTTTGGAGAAAAACACTTGAATTAAGAAAGATTTTTCAGGATGAATTTTTTTAAAACCTGAGAAACTGAACAATTAGATTCAAATACGTGCAGTAAAGTTTTGGATCCAAACTTTGCTCCAAAGACAAGACTGTATGCTTACCATTTTCAAAAGAACGAGTAAAAAAATTTTAGAAAGTAATGGCTTAAGATGAGGTTATTTGTGGATGAATAATAATTCTGGAGCACTTGAGGCAGCTTCATTTGCATCTTGTCAGAAAATGTTCCCATCACGGCAGACAGAAACTCCTGGAGCTGCATTACCCATGCATCTGCCCATTCATAAAAGTGGGTTTCTATTCTCCAGGGGCCCTGTGTCATAGAAGGCGGGGAACAGACCCCTGGTGGAATGGGTGATGGTCATCTTTGGGACAGGAGATGATTTAGATACTTAGACAGTCACAGAATTATTTTAATCACAGAATAATTTCACATTAATTATCTTTGAGTCATTCTCATGGAAGTGTACCTTTTACCTTTAACCCTTGCCGATCTTCTCTCTCTTTCTTTCTCTTTCTTTCTGTCTTTCTCTCCCCTCCCTCCCTCCCTCCCTCCCTCCCTCCCTCCCTCCCTCCCTCCCTCCCTTCCTTCCTTCCTTCCTTCCTTCCTTCCTTCCTTCCTTCTTTCCTTCCTTTTCTTTCTTTCTTTTGAAACAGAGTCTTGCTCTATCACCCAGGCTGGAGTGCAGTGGCATGATCTCGGCTCACTGCAACCTCCGCCTCCCGGGCTCAAGTAACACTCCTGCCTCAGCCTCCCTAGTAGCTGAGATTACAGATGCCCTCCACCAGGCCCGGCTAATTTTTGTATTTTTCATAGAGGTGGGGTTTTGCCATCTTGACCAGGCTGGTGTCAAATTCCTGACCTCGGGTGATCCATAGGCCTCAGCCTCCCAAAGTGCTGCGGTTACAGGAGTGAGCCACTGCTCCTGGTCCCAGTCTTCTTCCATAGCAAAAGGACACAGGCCTCTGGCAGAGAGCTTTGACAAGAAACTAAATCTGGCTGGAATTCTTAAACATTTTGTTTTAATATGGTTTTGCATGTCTTCTGTTTGTGGCAAGTGATGGTGACCTTCTATTTAAAATAATAAAAAATGTGTCTTTTGAAATTATTTCAAGAAAACCTATGTCACTTTAAAGATGTGTTTGTGTGTGTTTGTGTTTTTGTGCATGCATGGGTACACAGATTAACAGCATGCGCTGTCAGACATGGCCAAACCTACGCAAGGGAGTGCTGGGTACTCAGAGTGATCTTGTGTTACGGGTACACAGGGGCTGGAGTGTGGGAAGTGCAGGCTGGCGAGGTGGGCATGAAGCGAAATGTACATGAGCTGCTGAGCTCACGTCACACAGGTGACAGCCTTGTGTCCACCATGTCCTCACTGGCCAGCTTGGCTAGCAGTAGCGGCCAGTCCACGTTTAGCGTCCCCCATTCCTCTTGGTTCTGAGGAGCTCCTAATTTTGTTAAATCAAATAATGTTTTCGTTGTTTCTGTACAGTTTGAACACGGCAGGTCAGTGCATTGGATTCAGGCCTCAGGCCTCCAGGCTGCAGCTCTGAGTATCCTTGTCCTTTTGACAGACAGCCGAATTACCTCTCTGGGGACCTTCCCCACACAGCCTCATTGCTCCACTGGCCGCAAACCTCTTCCCCAGCCTCATCAGACTTGATGATCCCGCCAGAAGGAAAGAGGGATGGGAATTCATTCACACAGAAAATGATGACTGATGAAGCTTAATCAGTGACCTCTCACTGGGGAAACCTGGATTAAAAGGATTTTCCTGGGCAACAATGCTCTGGAGTGCCTGCTCATAGCTCTCTTTCTCCTTCCTTCTGGTTGATGCAGCCAGCATCCTGTAATAATCGATGCTGGACACACAGCCACTTTCCCAGGCTCTTCATAGATGACATGGGACCCAATATGGGTCAATGGGACCTGCAAAGATATCAATGAGACCTTCTGTACAGCTTTTCCTGCTTACAAAAAGGGGCGTGAGAGAGGATGAAGACAAAAAACTTGCCATCTTATTGCCTTCGGATGTGAATGGGTGAGGATGTGATACTTGGAGTTCTGGCTGCCATATTGTGGCCATGAGAAGATAAGGTTAAGCCAGACGACATGCCGGAGGGTGCAGAGAAGAAAGAAAGAGCCTGGAGTCCTAGAAACATAGGAGAACTCCTGAGCCAACCCTAAGACCCCGGCTTTCAGCTTCTTGATATATGAGATATCTCCTCTTGTTTACAGTCTCCTAGTTGAATATTTTGTTACTTGATACTAATACAAAGTAGCACCGAGGAGCCCAAAGAAACAGGGATTCTGTGAAATTCTAATATCTGTGAAAGTCAGAGAAGAAGATACACCCAGAGGATCTCAGGTTGCATACTGCCTGTCCAGAGACCCCAAAATTTCAAAATGGGGAATACTGCCTATGTTGAGTAAGCCTGTAATGGTGGCTTTAGCATCACTGTTTTTTCTTTTTTCTTTTTTTTTTTTGGGACAGAGTCTCAATCTGTCACCCAGGCTGGAGTGCAATGGCGCGATCTCAGCTCACTGCAACCTCTGCCTCCTGGGTTCAAGCGATTCTCATGCCTCAGCCTTCCAAGTAGCTGGGATTACAGATGTGCGCCACCATGCCTGGCTACTTTTTGTATTTTTAGTAAAGACGGGGTTTCACCATATTGGCCAGGCTGGTCTTGAACTTCTGGCCTCAAGTGATCCCCCTGCCTCAGCCTCCCAAAGTGCTGGGATTACAGGCATGAGCCGCCGCACCGGGCCTCAACATCACTGTCTTATAATAACTTTACTCAATGTGATTCTTTTGAGTGCTGGTGTGTGTTCTTTTGAACCAAATTAAGATAATTGGACGAACACCTCTTATGCTTTTATTCAGGTAAGAACTGCTATGGAGTGAACAAATTCAATGAAACCACATTGCCAGATGGAGCAAAACCCATGGTGATGTGGGAATGAAGGGGTGTGGAAATCTGTCTGACTTCTTCACATCCTTTGCGAGAGGTGCAACCACCATCTGCCATGAGTTTATAAGGAAAATATGCAAGTGAAGCTTCGTTTTGTCAACCTGTAAATGGCCTGTAAAAGTTTCAAGCCCCTGTAGCCAACTGTGAGTACAAATAATCATTTTCCAGGTCAGAAACATCCACCCTTTCTCAGAACCCAGGCTGACAGCAAGCAAGTGAATGTAAACATTTTGTGAGAATGCCCTTCCCTCAGCAGAGGCTCCTACTGCACCTGCCATAGGCTAATGCGCCTGACAGAATGCTATCCCTCTTGGTTTCACTGCCTGGTAAAAGTAGAGATTGCAATAAACCATTGCTCCATGACAAACTAAGATATAATGGATGGAGATTAAATCACCAGATTTTAGGTGCCTGTAGTGCTTACAGCAGTGAGCACCCTCAAAATATGCAGATGGATGGCCAAAATGATGCACAGCCGACCCCAAGCCATGTGTCAGGAGAAGAGCTGATAGTCACCCTACAATGTGCCAGATGTGTGTGTTTGCTCCAATAGGGAGTTAAAAAGAACTCTCTCACTTCTTCCAAGCTGAGAACGGCAGGCCCCCAGCCACCAGGCATTCCACAGGAGGGAGCCTCCTTGCTTATCTTGGAGCAGCTCAGCAATAAAATAGCATGCGTTCATTATTCAAGTGAAAGTTTAATTAATTCAGAACTTGTTCCCACACCTTCCTAGACAGCTCCTGATAATGAGCTCTCTGGGCTTTTCTTCCTCCATCTTGTGATGTCACGCTAAATGGACTGCATCTAACAGCATCGATGGGATGAAAATGCATGAGTGCAGGGCAGTGGTTGACTCTGTGGATTCAGGACCTGCTGAAATATCACAACTCTCTCTCCCAATCCCAGGGCCTCTTCTCTCTCCTTGTTGGGGTGAAATTGGTGGTTTTTCACAAGAGTTTTGGAGGTGCGTGGGAAGACTCTCAACTCTAGGGAGTTTGAGGGTTTTAAAAAAAATTTGCATACTTACTCCAGCTAAAGCATTTCATGAATGGCATAGCCAGTGATGCTGAACTATCTATCGTCCTCAACCATACAGCATCACAGGGTCACTCTCCTCCACCAAGGGCAGCCAGGAACCATCCCCTTTTGAGTACTGAAGTGAGCAACAGTGCCCCTGTGGCCAGAGGGGTCCAGATCTTCCTCCAGCTCACAGTGCTGTTGCATGACCCTACCTGCTTTATTTCTCCACGTGTAAAATAATAAAGTTGAGGGCACCTGTCCTACCTGCTCCAAAGCGCACCTGAAGTGAGGTGGGTGAAGAAGCACCTGGCTCAGTGAGTCCCCATCTCTGACCCTCACCAGGTCCTCTTCGTGGTCACGAGCCTGGGACTGTGAATCCACAGAGAAGACAGAGCTCAGCTCAGCATGGCCGCAGCCCCACTGGGAGGGGACTCTGGTAGCAGGTGGGACAGAAGAGGAAACAGTGATCATAGTTTTGCAATTGTAACTTTGTTCATGATGCAGTGTCTTCTAGCTCCTCCCAAATCCAAGCACATCTGGTACACTGACTATCAAATTATATCAAACTGTAGCATGGGATCAAAACATAATGTTACTTCGTCTCTCCCTGCCTCTTTCAAATTTATGAATTGAGCATTTTCTCACTGTTTCTGTATAAAAACCCCAGAAGATTTGATGACCTTTTCCAAACTATTAGATAGTGGACACTCTCCTGGTCAATTGAGGTCATGAAAACAATCTCGGTTTTATAATCAAAATATTCTAAGATGGAGATCAAGACCCTGCTTTTTATCTAACTGCCATCCTTCTGCTTCTTCAACTTGGATCTGCAGCAGGCTCCCCTTCGTCCCTCAAACACACCAAGCTTGTTACTTCCTCAAAGCCTTTAGAGGATGTTAAGAAACAAACCTATTATTCCAGAAGCTAGTAGTAAGGTGTAAAAAACACGTGTTTGGCTGGGCACGGTGGCTCATGCCTGTAATCCCAGCACTTTGGGAGTCTGAGGCAGATGGATCACCTGAGGTCAGGAGTTTGAGACCAGCTTGACAAACACGGTGAAACCCCGTCTCTAATAAAAATACAAAAATTAGCCTGGCATGGTGGCGCACACCTGTAATCCCAGCTACTCAGGAGGCTGAGGCAGGAGAATTGCTTGAACCGAGGAGGTGGAGGTTGCAGTGAGCTGAGAATGCACCACTGCACTTCAGCCTGGGCAACAGAGCAAGACTCTGTCTCAAAAAAAAAATGTGCTTATCTCATATTTTCTGCATGAGCTATACTTCAGCATAGCCAAAGAGTTGGCCAGGCATTTTTTTAAAGACAAATTCTGCCTAAAATTATGAAGGAATTTTAGAAAACCATTACTTTTAAATCTCTGGCAAATATATATATGTATATTTATATATTTAATATATATAATATTATTATTATATATAATATATATAATAATATATTATATATATTATATATTATTATTAATATATATTTATTATTTAATAAATATATAAAATATAAAGATATATAGATATATAAAAAGATATATAAAGATATATATAAAGATATATATAATAATATATATAAATATATATAAAGATATATATATATAAAGATATATATATATAAAGATATATATATAAAGATATATATATATATATATATATATATATATATATATATCCATAGGTCATTAGGGTTTGTTAAACCATTAATAGCAGATGATGACTTTTCAATCACTGGATCAATTTGGCTATTACTGAACCCCCCTGACCAATCAGTATCAGTAAACAGGAGACAGCTTGAGTGTCACACTGTACTGCAATGGAAAGTAAATGCCAGCACCCAACGTGCTCTCACCATGCTAGCTGCTTCCATGTGTCAACTTGACTGGGCTAAGGAATGCCCAGATAGCCAGTAAAATACTATTCCTGCATATGTCTGTGAGTGTGTTTCTAGAAGAAAATATTATTTGAATCAGTGGGTTGCATAAAGATGACCCTCATCAATGTGTGCAGGCATCCTCCAATTCACTAAGGGTCCAAATAGAACAAAAGGGTGGAGGAAGGGCAGGCTTGTTCTTTCTGTTTGAGTTGGGACATCCACCTTCTACTCTGAGATGTTGGTACTCCACATGCCCAGGCCTCAGACTCAGACCAGAACTTATGCTATATCTGTATACAGATATAGATAGATATGTATGTGTGTACACACACACACATATATATACACACACATACACACAACCCATTAATGACAGTATGTGTGTGTGTGTATATATATACTCTCTTCCCATGTGCACACACACACACACACGTTATACACACACATGTTATTAATGAGTTGTCCAGTGTGGCTGCTCTGATGTGTATGGGGCTGCTCCAATGTGGCTGCTCATTAATGGGTTGTCCAGTGTGGCTGATCTGGTGTGTATGTGGCTGCCGCAATGAGGCAGCTCATTAATGGGTTGTCCAGTGTAGCTGCTCTGGTTCTCACATGCCTTACCCTCTCTAAGCTGAGGTTTCTGTACGCAGAATGTTCTGAGTTGGGTCTGGAGATCCTGCAAACAGGACACTAGGAAAGCTGAAGAAGGCCCAGGCTATCTGAAGCTGTCACCTCCCACCAAACCTCCCTCATCCAACCATGTCTTCTGGGGAAAACCTCAGACTCCCAGAGGCTAGACAATTCTGTGGCCCCCCTCAGTGCATCAGTACAGGATGCTTTGAGGCAGCCCCAAAAGACATCATGCCGGTAAGTAGTCTCCTTTCCCTTGAGTATCCTGGGAAACTGGGGGTTGGGACCCCAGCCCTTATTTCTCTGGATCCCCCAGGGTCTCCAGAAGAGAGCCACACCCATCCTAGAGATGTGTCTAGTCAACAGCTAGTAACTGGGGGGACGAGGCAAACCTCTGTGGGAGGGTTCATGGGGAGACAGTGCTCGGGAACAGTGTTGGGGCGTCTACGGAAAACTATGTTCCGATGGCCACACTCAGGGCCCTCTCCACCCCTCACTCCTCGGCACTCCCTCAAGAGCTCCTCTTCTGTTTTCTCGACTCCACCATTCCCAGTGTATTCATCTACATGAAGCCTCTGTCTGTCTTCCTGAACTCTGATTCTCTTCGTTCTAGTACCTGGAGGACCTAAGCCTCGTGTTTCAAGGATCCCATCACTGGGTTTGCCTTCCTTCCCTCGTTTTGTTTTCCAGCATCAAGCTTGGCTCACACCTGTGCTGATCTCCATCCATTCCAGCCTCAGGGTATTTGTGCTGTGATCATGGCTAGGCGGTCTCTTCCCCCTCTCCCACTCCCCACCCCCATCTCACACTCACCTTATCACTGATGCCTCTCATAGTCACACCTGAGATTCCACTCCATCATTCCACAAGTGCCTATGCAATCCTACCATCTCCTGATACTGTGCACCCAACACAGGGTTCTCCAGGAAGAGCCCAGGTGAGGATCCACAAAGCTGCTGCTTGATCCCTGAGCTGCATGCGTAGGATAGCAAAGATGAGGACAAATGCAAATGAGGCAAAGGAAGATGAGCCATGAGGCAGAGCGCTGTGTTACACACCAGCTCCCCCTGCAGGGCAAGCACAGAGAGGCAGCAGCCTGCTCAGCGGGCCATGCATGCACTTGGCACGCAGGATTTCTGTGGGGTGTGGCACCGCCCAGGGAAACCCTGGCTTAACCCTGGCTTAAGGAGGAGTGTTTGTGTGCCCATCTCTCATTTTCTTTTGAACAGAGTCCCTCCATTGGGACTGCATTTTTCTGCACTTTTGGTTCTTCTCATCCAGCCCCTCCAGTGATCTCTCAGGATGCAGAGCCCAGGCCTCTGCGAGGAGGTATTCCACCAGCAAGGAAGAGGCAGAGGTTCCAGAAACTCAGGTGTGCTTTATGCACACCTGAGAGGTGACCATAAAGGAGGCTCAGGGCTTCTAAGGGAAGTGGCTGGTTTTGCTCTCACAGTGACTGCGTCACCTTGGGAGGCGGGGGATGCAGGGTGCAGCCGCAGCCGTCTACACACTTGTGTCCAGAGCCCTGGGCCAGGCACTGTGCATTCCACGGGGCCCATCACAGCCCCTGCCTACATGGGTGGATTCTACTGCAGGCCTGCTAAAGTGTTGTCTTGCAAAACCTCATTGAACTCGTGCGGCAATCCTATGAATGATTCATATTAGTGTTCCCATTTTACAGATAAGAAAACTGAGCCTCCACGACATAAGGAGGTGCCAATTCAGGTACAGCATAGTGCTGCGGGGGATTAAGCTAAGGTTCACTAGAATTCAGTGCCCTCCAAACCAATTAGCCCTGCCTCCTGTGCACATGTATTTCATCAAGTTTGAGATCACACTGTGATCATTTCGCCTGAGTCCCTCAGGGTGAAAGTGCTGGTTCTGAGTGCCTGAACACTTAACATTTCTATGGGGACTGCAAAGTGACTTCCAAATGAATGTGTCAATTTGCACAATGAACATCAGTGTTTTGCTGGATTCTTAATGACAGTTCTCTCACTTGGCTTTGCCCCTCTGGGTGTTCATTTGTAGCATTTCACACACACACACACACACACATACACACACACACACTAAAATCAAAGTGGGCAAGGCATTGCTATCAAAACATGAAACAGTCCATTCAGCCCCGGCCTTCCAAGCACCTTAAATGCCTGAACCCCGCATCCAGCACAGGATGGCCTCCAAGCCTGTGTCCCTGCTTGGCTTCAGGAGGCCGCACTCCCCGCCCTGCAGTGCCTGAGACTGGGCCTGTCACTTTCTGTAAATGCTTGTGCAGTACACAGTCCCTTTTCTGGATTGTGGAACTGCACCCTGGCTCTGTCTCCCTCTCTCTGCCTGCACTCCTCCTGTAGCCTGGATCAGTCTGGACAGCTTCCAAACACGCCCCCTGTGTCCAATCTGGCTCCTATAACATAAGCCACAAGGCATCCAAAGTGGTGATTTTAAAACTTAAATAAGGTCATAACATTTCCCTAATAAAAACCCACAAATGACATCCCAATGGACTGAGAATAAATGCCAAGCCCTCACCTCTCGCTTCTCCTACCTGGCCCTGTGTGTGCTGGCTGTTCATGACCACCTGGCTGCTTCGACCACTTCCCCTTGTGTGTCTTCTCCAGCCATGCCGACTTTCTTTCCCTTCTTCAAACACACTTCACTAGTCCCTACCCTCAACTTCAGGGGCTTCTCTGACATTTTCTGTCCCCCTCTGCTTAGAACACTCTTCCCTAAATTTATTTACGTTGTCAAAGGAGTAGGATGAGATAATGACTGATAGTACTGGACAGTCACCATAGTCCAGACACTGATAGATGTGTTTAGTGCTATGAACTCATCTATTCTCCACAATGATTCTTTGGGTTTGGTGCTATCGTGATCAATGCTTAACAAACGAGGAAACTGGAGCCTAGCGAAGCAACTTGCCTAGTCACACAGCTCTTGGTGATAGAAGGACGACACAGGCCTCAGCTCTGTATTAAATGAGAGTGCAAAAAGAAAGGCCTCTAGTCAAGCTCTGGGGCTATAGAATAGTTCTATGCTGTCCAGTGGAGAAAGAAGGACAAAGAAGGCTGTGAATGAACAGACAGGAGTAGCAGCAGAGCTTCCATGAGGGAGGCAGCGGTCACCTAGATTGAGGTCTGCTGAAAAAGCAATTGTATCTTCAGTTATCTGAGCAACATATGGGTCCCTGGTGACTTTATCATAACTGTATCAGCAACTGGCCGGACTAGCCAGGCTGCTGTGGGGTGAAGAATAATGAGAGGTGAGGAAATGATAACCTCAAATGCAGAAGTCTCTTCTGGAATGCTTTCCTCTAAAAAGGATCAGAGAGACTGTTTGAAGATGGAAAGGAATGTTCTGAGTTGGGTCTGGAGATCCTGCAGACAGGACACTGGGAAAGGTGGGCCCCATCCCAGACATGGCAATGGAACCCAGTTCTATGTAGGAAATGATTGCATCTGTTTTCATGGGGGTGACTGTGAACCTCACAGCAGTACAAGGAGGATTAATTAAGATATTAAGTCAGAAATTACAGATGCATAATACCTGGAATTATGGCTCAGTACATAATGACTCCAGCCCTATCTCTGTAACTCACAACACTGTATTTGAATGTATCTGGACAGATCCTGGAGGTAACTGTAGAAATGCCCTAGATGACTTTCTTTTTTTTTTTTTTTTTTTTTTTTTTTTGAGACTGAATCTTGCTCTGTTACGCAGGCTGGAGTGCAGTGGTGTGATCTCAGCTCACTGTAACCTCCGCCTCCCGGGTTCAAGTGATTCTCCTGCCTTAGCCTCCGCAGTAGCTGGGATTACAGGCACCCGCCACCATGCCCAGCTAATTTTTGTATTTTTAGTAGAGACGGAGTTTCACTATGTTGGCCGGACTTGTCTCGAACTCCTGATCTCACCATGATTTAGTCACTTTGATTTTTTAAAGCTTTATGTATAATAATGAAACATACACATAAGGTAGAAATGACCCAATCCATCGGTAGTTGAATTAACACGCTGAGATACATGCATGTAATTTAATTCGTCAGTAAGAAATCAGCAGAGCACTAATGTACTCGATAGCTGGACCTCAAAAGCATTGTGTTGCCTGAAAGAAGCCAGACACGAAAGGTTAAGTGGCGTTTGACCTCAATAACATGGAGTTCCAGAACAGGCAAAGGCAATCTATGAAAGTGAGGAAATCTGATCATTGCCTGTGGAGTCAGGTGTGAAGGGCGAGAGGGAACTAGTGGGTCATTGTGAAGGGCGAGAGGGAACTAGCGGAGCAGATGGAAATGTGCTAGACTTTCAATGGAGCAATAGTTACACCGACACATGCATTTGTCCAAACCCATCCACCTGTATACTCAAGCTGGACACTTTATCCTATTTAAATTACATCTTAACAAAGTTGACATCTTGTCTTTTTCATTAATTAGCAAAAAGAAATTCCAGGGGCCATATTTTCTCTGTATTTTAAGTCATGCCTCTGCTGCAATATAGTTTCCGCCTTCACACTGGAGCTTTGCTTGCCTATAGTGATTGTAAGTACTCCTGTCAGAAACCAAGCCTGTCGGCCAGGTGGTCGTCAGTATTCGGAATATTTGATTGGCTTCATCTGTCTTGTAGTTTCTGGATCTTCACCATCTGCACAATGGGTTCATTTTTGATGGGAACCTATTTTGCAACAACTGGAGTCTTTTCCTCATTATAAACAAGAGATAAGCCAACATTATTGACCCAGATGAATAGTAAACAGAAAGCAGGGGGTGAAGGGAGCTGTGACTGTCCTGTATCCAGCTGTAGAGGCTCTGTCCACATAGGGTCAGATGGGATGGCTGAATGGTTCTGCATCCCGGATGGCTCACTCACATAGTGGGCAAGTTAGTGCTGGCTCTTTCTGGGAGCTCAGACTGGACACTGGCCGGGGGCCACTTCCTCTTCACATGGGTCTCTCCACTGTCTTCCTCGTGACATGACACCTGCATTTCAAGAGCAGGGATATCAAGTTCCCTTTGGTTTTGAACAACTGGGGATCTGAGAGGAAACTTCATATGAAGAGAGACAGAGAGAAAGGTGCCACCTTGGCAATGGATGAAATTGTAACAACCCAGGGATAAATTGCTAATTCACTATTCTCTCATCACTGCTTTTGCTTCCACTTTAATCTATGATTTGTGAATGGAATTAATAGAAACCGACCAAACATGGCTATGCACACGATGTTTGGCCACAAATATTTTCCACATTAATTCTCTTAGTATCATCAGAACAGAGGAAAAGCCCTGGTCATCAGTTCTGTGTTGTGAGTACTAACAAGCATGCAGTTTTGCCAGTAAAATGGACAACTGTGGAGACAGGCAGAAAGGAAGCTTAGAGTCTCCGTACATCATTTTCTTACACTGAAAAACAGAAAATAAAATATTTTGCAGTATTAGATTGTTTCACAAAGCATAGATGCCTTGGGAGAAAACAGTCCGAGAGAGGGAGACAGAGTTTCCACAGTCTTCAGTTTTGCTGTACATTGCTTTGGATGTCTGTAAGTGAGGGCTTCCACAAACATTTTTTGCAAAGATCCATGGAATAAGTTTAGACTCTGTGGGCTGCAGGGTGTCTGTTACAATTCCCTACCTCTGCTGCTCTAGAATGTAAGCAGCCACGAACAAATGCAAGTGGTTCAGCTCCACAAAGACTTTATTAACAAATAGCAAAACAGCAAACTGGATTTAGCCGTAGGCTGTAGTTGACCAACTTTTGCTCTGAATAATTACCTTGTAATCTTGAGGTCCAAATATGGGGATTTGCACCTGGTTCAGAAGCAGTGTACCCAAATGTGCACCCCTTTCAGGGGATTTCAGTGTATTTGGAGAGGGGGGAAGTTCTTTTTTTTTGTTTTTTTCTATAACCTCATGTAGAAATTCTACAGCCTCAACGGCTAGATCCTATTTGGAGTCCTAATCTCCCACTGCCTTTGCAAAGTGATGCCATGCTAGCTATCATCTCTCTGCATTTCCAGCACCCTTGTCTGTAACAGAGAGTCAATAACGGCACTTACCAAAGGGCTGCTGGAAAGATTGCACACCACGTATGCAGCCGAGGGTCCAGCACACACAAGATGCTCAAAAAACACTGCTGTTGTATTATACTTATTGCTATCCTGTTTCCGTCTGTCAATCCACATACCTGCTCAGTAACTCTCTGCTGCAAACAGAAAGCAGAACCCAGATATTCCCATTGGTTTATCACTTCAGGGCAGTTGTGAGCAGAATCAGGGTCCAGATCATACAATCATGAAGGCCTACATTTAGTTTTTTAGATTAAAAAAAGTTTTCTTCAAGCTAGGTTAGATGTCCGGATATATTCAGACTTATCTTACCACTTACATTTCTAATTGCATTTTTCATCAATAAAGTGCATTGCTTTATTGATGAAAATTCCTTAATTTTCCCTTACATGAAAACATCTTTATTTTTTTCTTATTTCTGAAGTATACTTTCACTGAGAGTCTAACTTTGAATTGAAGGTATTTTTGTTTGTTTTTATTTTTGTTTTTAGAGGCAGGGTCTCAGTCGGTCTCTCAGGCTGGAGTGCAGTGGTATACTCATAGCTCACTGCAGCCTCAACCTACCAGGCTCAAGTGATCATTCTTCCTCAGCTTGCCAAGGTATCGGGACCACAGGCATGAACCACGACATTCAGTCTGTTTTTCCTTTGTTTTGCTTCCTCCTCGTCATCACTTTAACAGGGTCTTTCCACTGTCTTCTGGCTGCCATGGTTTCTGAGGAGAAATCTGCCATCAGTCACATCATACTTTATCCAATGTGTCATTTTCTCTGGCTACTTTCTTGATTGATTGTCTCTTTGTCTTTGGTATTCAGCAGTTTTAAGATGATGTGTTTGGGTGAGGTTTTCTTTAAATTCATTCTACTTAAAGTCCTGGAATCTATGAATTCATTTCTATTAACAAATATAAGACATTTTGGCCATGAGTTTTTCAGCAGTTTTGTTCTGGCTTAGTTTACATCTCTAGTCCTTCTATGACTCCAATTATGCACATTTCAAAACTGTTGATATTGCCCCATAGGTCATGAGGCTCTATTGATTTCATAAAATATATTCTTTGTTTTTCTCTGTACTTCACACTGGATTTTATTTTATATTCATTGACTTTTCTTCTGTCATCTCTATTCTTCTATTGAGCACATTTACTGAATATTTAATTTCAGATATTGTATTTTCAGTTCAAATTTTTCTTGTAGGATTTTTTTCCTATTTGCTGAGAAATAGAAGGTGCTGAAACCATCCATATGATGGTATCTGCCTGGGCTTTGGAGCTCCTAAAACACCCTCATTGTCATCTGATTCTCTGAGGAAGAGCGTGCAGAGACACGCCAAATAAGGCACTGGGTTAAAGAACCAGCATGGGACAAGCTTGGAGGCGTCTCTTGCCAGGGAAACTCTGCCATAGACTTGAGCCTAGTATAGAGCAAGGAGGGAAAAGAAATACCACCCTTGACAGTTCCCGAGAGTACCTTCTGCTGTGAATGATTTCAACAGTCCTGTTGTTGCTGGGGAGAGCAGAGATCCCAGTTCTTGTCTAACCTGGAAGAAAGCATTCTGCCAAGCGACTGATTTAGCCACAAAGAGAACATATTGAAGGAAAATAGAGAGCAGAGAGCTTATTTAGAGGGAGACAGTACACTCTGGAAGGATATGGCAGAGTGGGCTGCTGAAGTGAGGGTGCCAGCAGCAGCGTGAGAGTTCTGTGTTGGGGTTTTATGTCTGTTGGGTTCTTTTTTTTCTTTTTTTTGGAGACAAAGTCTCACTCTGTCTCCCAAGCTGGAATGCAGTCATCTCAGCTCACTGCAACCTCTACTTCCTGGGTTCAAGCAATTCTCCTGCCTCAGCCTCCTGAGTAGCTGGGACAACAGGCATGCACCACCATGCCAGGCTAATTTTTGTATTTTGAGTAGAGATGGGGTTTCACCATGTTGGCCAGGCTGGTCTCAAACTCCTGACCTCAGGTGATCCACCCGCCTCGGCCTCCCAAAGTGCTGGGATTACAGGCGTAAGCCACCATGCCTGGCCAATGGGAATCTGTTTTGAAGTAACTGCCTCTGTCTTAAGTTTCTGCCTCTTTGTCTAGTTTTCCTGCACCTGCCTTAAGTCCCTGCCTTTTCCCCACCTCATTCCCTCCCCAGGCTGGTGGGACCCTTCCTTGCTGTTAATTGGTGTGGCATGTGTGGCAATACTGAACAGGAATCCTACCTAACCGCTGCATTGCTCATGACTGCCACCCCACAAAGGTCATATAATGGTTCAATCTGTACCTATTGCACCTGCATTCTCGCCTTGGAATTCCTGTCTCTGTTTTAATTTGGACTTTGGCACCAGGTTTTTTCTGAGGACTTTCTTGTTTTCCTTCTTATCAGCATGCATCTGGCTGTGTTCTGACAAGTTAACTGCAGAGTGGGTGAATACTGGGCACCTGAACAGACGTTCCTTTCTGCCTAGGTATTTCCCCTCCTCTCTGCTTTTATCTACCATACCTGCTTCGGGTGGTCCCTGGGACATGAGATTTTCCAGACCTCCCTTTTTTAGGGGCTCCCCTCTCCTGCTTCTGTCTGGATACCTGCCGCCTCTAACACTGTGATCTTTGCAGAGACGTCAGGATGTCTTGGTGACTGACAGATCTGATAGGATTTCAGCTCATTCCTTCTCTGAGTGAATGTGGGCAAGCAGAAAATCTGCCTCTCGAAATCCCGGTTCCCTCCACTTCTAAACATGCAGATAATGAAAAAGCCTGTTTCACGCGATTGAGATGAAGATTAAAATGTTGATAATTCTACTGAATTGGCACGTGTGTTTGCACATGTGCATATCTGTACACACACAGAGAGAAATTCATGGGTCAGACTCTGCTCCCAAGGAGAAACGTGCAATTTCCACAGAAAATCTTTGCATGGCAAATAATCCTGAACTACATTCTATTATTTGCTCACATTTAAATCTGGCTGTTTACCCAATTATCCATGTCTGATATTGGGCTATAGCTCTGAGCCAAAGAAGACTGTTTTCAACCACTTTGATTTTCACCCAGCAGTAACAAGCGGCATGCTGTGGTGGGCTGGATTCTAAGTTGCCCTCAAGAATGACACAAGCTTAAACCACAGGTAGCAAAGGGAATTTCTTCTTTCCCTGAGACCTAATTCATTACCCTATATCATTGCAACTTGATTAGTATTTACCCAATAGAATGAAAGTGTGTTGATTTCTGAATCACTAAAAGCTGATGTCATTAAATTAGGCATGATACTTAAAACATTAAATTCATTATCATCTAGCGTCTTATATTTATAAAGTATAACTAAGGATATATTTGCATGTGTAAAGAATCTGTCACTATTAGTTCTCTATGCCAGGAAAGGCAGCTGTCTTATTATTTCTGAGCCTGAACATTAAGACAGTAGGGCAAGGGGAAGAGAGGAAAGAATAAATGGAACATTTCTGCCTGCTTAATGCCAGAGAAATATATAAAGTGGTGAATACATGGGTAGCCTAACAAGGAAGAAACACACATCCATCACTTGGGATGCATTTTTAATCTTGGAGTGGCTTTAAGAAGTTCACCCTCTCTGCTGCCAATTCAGGCAATAGATTAAAGGTCACTTTAAAATGCCTCAACGTTAACGGCAATCATTGCAGAAATGCCAAATATCATTATCTGACTGCAAAATTACCTAGCTGGAATTGCTACATTATTTCTCTAGATAATGCCCTCCAAATGTTTTTGATTGTTTATACCTGACAATAAAGAACTACTTCTGTATGCATCTGTGATATGGAGGCCATTACACCAGCTTGCCAAATATTTTCAGATTTCCCTCTTCTTGGGCACACAGTAGAAACATAATTCTAGGTCTTGTCTTTGAGCGAAGCCATTAGCTAGTTCTGGCCAATGAGTGTGGGCAAACATGGCATGTGCTGTCAGGAAGGGGGACCCACAGTGGGCAGGCAACACTCACAACTGCATTTATCACAGCTGCTCCTTACAGCATGGTCCAAGCCATCACTATCAGACCCTCACTCAGAGCTCTTGACCTCATCACCACCAGCTCCCCTGGTGCTAACTCTGGGACAGTCATCATTTAAGGCATTGGGTGCATGCTGTCCTTATTGCTCTACCCCAAATAGGTCAGGCACACTCCTTGATTAGGGCCTTTACTTTTGCTGCTATCTCAACCTGGGATATTCCTTTCCCCCAGGACCCAAGCCCTCCAAGCTCATTTCTTTTAGGTTCAAGCTCAAACATCAGCTTATCCATGAGACCCATGCTTATATTGTCTTTTCAAATAACAGTTGCCACTAATAGGTACTCGCTATGCACCTTCTGTGTTATTTTCCCCATAATACTTTAACCTACCTGACCAGCTATATTCTCCTTCATTGGTTCTTTGCATTCTTGTCCCCTTCCCCCTCGCCCCACACACCTGCCCCATCCCACACATACACATAATATTATATAAGCTCCTTGGGAGCAGGAACTGTGCGTGCTATTTTAACATCATATTCCCAATGTCTAAAACAATGACTGTCCCAGAGTTGGCACTCAAAAACGTTTGTTAATGAGCTTAATACAATATGTTACGTTAGGGTTTTTGTTAAATAAGTACAATGCAGCTGCTCTCGTCACAGAAAAACTAACTGTGAGATAAGAGATATGTTCACAGACTTCACTCTAGAAACCATTTTACTCTCTGTATATATCCCACAGCATCATGTTGCAAACCTGTAAACCTCAAATGTACCCAATAAAATTTATTTAAAAATATTTGTTTAGAGGAAGAATGAGTAAATACAACACTTACCGAACTCATATGCAGATAGGACTATCTGGCCTCCCTTTCTCTGCCCAAATATGTATCTGAAGATGACCCAGAAGCAATGTTCTACACCTTCATGTGAATTTCTGTTGCTTTACTCACATCATCTCCTCTAAGAGGCAAGTGGAGTTGGTCAATGTCAAAGAAATTGCATCCTTCATGAGATTCTAGGAGTCTGAGGCATAAGAAACAGCTTCCTAAAAGCATTTTGGAAAAAATAAGGCTTTTGTTATTGTTGTTGTTGCTGTTATTGTTTTTTATTTCTTTTTCCTCTGGCCACCTTGTGTGGTCCTGTCTGCAGATTATAACAATAAACACTGGCATTGTTAATGTCAGCTGAGGGGTCCACACTCCAACGTGGGAGCAAAACAAGCTTCCATTTGTGAGCCATGCCCATTTTGGCCCAAACAGTCATGTATTATAGCAGCAATCTCACCAGATTGTGGATAGTTTGAAGTTGCAAAAAGCTTAAAGCCACTTTTATATAATTTGCCAATTTTCTCCCATTTTATTTCCTCTATTTTCTGATGAGAAATCAATCTTCTCTAAAGAAAACAAATACATTATGTTTTACTATGAAGTCAAGGTCTTAGGTTATTCTCTCAACTTGAGGTATTTGTTGTTTGGATTTTTTTAAAAAAACAGAGTACATTTATTTCTTAATCAAGGGTTGACATAAGCACAAGGTCTGCGTGTTTGGAAGATGCTGGGCCTGTTTACCCTCTTTTATCAGTCGGGGTGGAACTCATACCTCACCCCCTACCCCCACCACCACCTACCACCTTCTGGCGCCCAGTTCAGCTCAGAGGGTCCCTCCATAATTGGGGTCGTTTGGAGTGAGAATAATGGATATAATCACCAGCAGGGGTTTCTCATCTGGATACTGGTCTTGATCTATAACAGTAATACAGCTTCAGTCAACTTCCAAGCTGGCTGCACTGCTGTGTGGCTTTACACCAGTGGCTTCACCTCTTTGAACTTCCATTGCCTCCTTTACAAATGGCCATGATAAAACCAGCTTGTAGGTCATTGTCACAATAACCTATAAAGTTTGCAAATCACTGATGCCTGGCACAATGACTGGTAGGTAGAGGTGGTTGAGAACCAATAACTGGAACGTATGGGGATCATATGGGTAGCAGTCCATCAGTATGTGTTTTCTCTGTGCAGATCTTATCCTGAGCTCATGAACTACTGTGGGACCATTTACCATTCAGAATAGAAAGAGAACTGAGCCAGGAGTCTGGGCACATGGATTCTCATCTCCAGTCCATCCTCCTGTGTGCCAGGTGCATTTAGGTGCCGGGGACACAGCAGTGACTGAGATGGGCATCTACACTCATGAAGCTGACTCTCCAGAAGAGACACTGAGAATAAAGCAGGAAGCATCTATAGCAGGAAGTGGAATGGCTCATCAAACAAGTGCCCTGGAGAAGCTTAGACTGGGGAGGGAGATGAGGAGGGCTGGTGGTGCAAGACACTGCAGTAAGGAGGTGAGCAATGACCTCCAGGTTGTGAGGAAGGAGCCAGGCACCACCTCCAGGAGGTGGGGGAAGGGCCAGGCACCACCTCCAGGAGGTGAGGGAGGAGCCATGTACTATCTCTAGGAGGTGAGGGAGGAGCCATGTGCTATCTCTAGGAGGTGAGGGAGGAGCCATGAGCTATCTCCTGGAGGTGAATGAGGGAGCCATGTGCTATCTCCTGGAGGTGAATGAGGTAGCCATGTGCTATCTCCTGGATGTGAGGGAGGAGCCAGGCACTACCTCTGGCAGGTGAGGGAGGGAACAATGCACCATCTTCAGGGCTAAAGAGGGAGCCAGGCACCGCCTCCGGGAGGTGAGGGAGGGAGCCAGGCACTGCCTCCAGGAGGTGAGGAGGAACAAGTGAGGTCAGGGCAGGGAGGAGGGAGGATGATGGCTGTCCTTGTCAGTCTTGGTGAGGATGTTGTCTTTACTCTGAATGAGATGGGAGCTGTGGAGGGTTAGGAGCAGACATGATGTGACTTCGGTTTTCACAGACTCATTTCTGCTACGTTGAGAACAGACTGAGGGGTAACGGAGGAGGAAAGGAGACCCAGTGCTACATCACCGTCTGATGTTAAAGTTGAGGACTTGACATTCTCTGAACCTGTTTCCTCTTCAGCAACATTGAGTGAACCTGTCCCACGTACACCCTAAAACTGATTAAGGATCACACACTCTATTGTATAAGCCAGTCCTTCCCATCAAGTTTATGCTGCCAGGATTCAAGCCCTGGTGCTGCCACATGACAGCCGGTGCCCTTGGACCAATTATGTGGACGCTCTGTGCCTCAGTTTCCCCATGTGTAAGATGTGGATACTAATACTTTCAACACATGTAGTTACTGTTAAGATTAAATGATACAATTGATATAAAGTGCTTAGAACAAAGAGTTTGTGGTAAGTTCTATATTACTATGAGTGATCACACCCACCAGCCATTACTATAGAATAAACACCTCCCAGATCTCAGTGGCTTACAAAAATATTGATTGATTGATTGCTCATTTTACTTGAGGCTGTGGGTCTCCTGCAGCTCGGCTGGACTCTCCTATGCTCAACTGTGCTGGGTTCAGCTCAGCTCCGTGAGGCTTCTCTTTCCAGAATCCAGGCTGAAGCCACCATCGCTGGCACCTGCAGCTTTCCTGGTGAAAGACACTCCAGGCCGTGGCAGGTGAGAATCCCCAGGTGTGTCTTCTAACACCTCCACTTGTAATCAGCCCATTGTTACTTTGACCTTCATTCTATTGGTCAATGAATGACCACATCCAAAGTCCATGGGGCAGAGGTGCGTTTGCTGACAGCTGTGGAAGACAGAAAATAATCCACCACAGGGCGACCATCAAACTCTATCATCATCCTCTTCGTCTCCTCCTTATTTCCCAAGGGAGGGCACTCTATTAACCCCCGAGGCAGAGTGGATGATGTATAGTAAACATCACTGCCATCGAGGTTATAGGCAAAGGTGCTGCACAAATGGCAAGGAAGGCAATGGCTACCCACATTTTTTTAAGTTGAGGAAAGACAGACATTAAGTCCATGGATGCAGGTGAACCCACTGTGGCTAAAACCAGTTTGTGCATAGAGACAAGGATATGTCTACTGTAATATTTATCTTCCCCAATGTACAAAATTACCCTAAGGGAGAAGAAAAAGAGTATTTCATAATCTAATCTGCAGAATTCTGACATTAAATTTAATAGGAGGCAATAAAATGCATTTGTGGTTTGCTCAGTGTCGACATAGTGTGTTCAATACCTAGAATTAATGAGATTGTGCACTTCCTAAGTGTTTGCATGCCAGTTTTCTGAGGGTAATAACTACATTTTCCATCTCAGAAACTGCTGTGTAAGTGACTGATACTGCCCTTGCTTCAAAGGAAAACAGATTGTTCTGGTTATTTTTGTTGGTTTGATTTTTAATTAATGGTGACCCTGGTGTATTGTTATTGGTCCATTTGAACACGTTATTACTCACAAGGAACTGACTCGGAGGAGTTGCCCGTTGCCACACTTATAACAAGGGGAACAGTCAGGGGAAAGAATGATAGGAATTGTGTTGTTCACAGACTATGCCAGGACAAAAAATGAGGAGATTGACTCACTTTACAAAATAGAGGAGTTCTCCAAAGCAGTGCATTGGGGAAATTGTCAAAATGGACTTCATTTTCTGGCCGATACCACTTTGCCTTTCAAGCTGTTTTATTTTCATTTCTACTTCGTTTTCAGTGGTGGAGACACCTGATAAATCAACTTAAAGTTTCTCTTCTCCCTGGCCTTTAAGAAGCTAGTTTGGCACAATCAAATCTCCATAAAGAAATAGTCTGTAAGATGGTGAAATAGTCTGTAAGATGAGACACTTTGCAATGTGTTACCTCCACTTTCCAATCTACTCTACCATATATAACTCTTCAGAGTTTGAGGAATAACTTGGTGCACATAGGGTTTAGGAGAGTGGGCTGCATGGCATTTGGCTGCCTGGGCTCAAATCCCAGCAGTCACCTGCCGTGGTGTGGCCTCTGCCAGTTTGTTTTAATGTTTAAGGCTCAATTTCCTCAACTGCAAAATGAAGAAGAAAATAAGATTTAACATACCAGGAAGAATTAAATTAAGGCACTGCCTTGCAGCTCTTATTATGATAATTTAATGTACATATTCCAAATGGTTTTCTTTCTTCAGATGTTCAGACAAGTCTAGAAATATGCACAAACGTGTGGCACGATGATACCGCCAGCATGGTGTGTGAAATGGAAGGACGTACTTGGCCTCAACATCCAGAGCACGGATGCTATGGATCTCCAGCATATGATAAGATGGGCATACCAGTGATTCAACAAATGCATGTCAAATGTAATTATTTAGAAAAATTTGCATAACCAGGTGATAACCTTCAGCCTAGAGAGGTCAGTGATGTTCTCGTGGGCCGCAGATCCTTTTTAGAATTCAGTGGAAGATTCAGAGCTACTAATCAGGGAGCCATGCTATACTTCTCAGCATGGGAAGCTTCTCAGCTGAACTTCAGAAGACGAGTAGACCCTCTGAAACTCCTCTGAATAATGCCCTAGGGCTCCCAGACTTTATGTTAAGAGTTCCTGTCCATTTCTCTTCTCCCAATACCATAGCTGCTCAACAAATAGGTTTACTCAGAAAATCAGTCCAGTGAGTGCTCTTGGGTTCTCACCCAGATCCCATTTTGGGTCTCTGGACCCATCCACTGCTGATGTCCACAGTGCAGCCAACAGGGTACAGCCTTGTCCGGCCATTGAGGAATGCTCCTGCCATCCCCAGCCACCCCTCTTAGAAATGCCATGGAGATTACACTATCCCTCAGGAGTAGCCTGAAGGCAACAGTTGCCCAGTGCTAGGATGCAGAAGCTGGAGCCCTCACCTGAGATGAGACCACTCTGGAGGAATTCACACTCTGGAGGTATTCACACTCTGGAAGCATTCACATTCTGGAGGCATTCACAGTTTGGAAGCACTCACACTCTGGAGGCATTCACACTCTGGAGGCATTCACACTCTGGAGGCATTCACTCTCTGGAGGCATTTACTCTCTGGAGGCATTCACACTCTGGAGGCACTCACACTCTGGAGGCACTCACACTCTGGAAACACTCACATTCTGGAGGCATTCACAGTCTGGAAGCACTCACACTCTGGAGGTATTCACACTCTGGAGGCATTCATACTCTGGAGGTATTCACACTCTGGAGGCATTCATACTCTGGAGGCATTCACACTCTGGAGGCATTCATACTCTGGAGGTATTCACACTCTGGAAGCATTCACACTCTGAAGCTCCCATGGGATCAGCTTCAGCTGGGCTTCAGCCAGGCCGACGTCTTTGTCCTGCTTCTCTCCCAGGCTCCATCAGTCCCTTCCGCATCTCTTCCCTTTTTGCATCACTCACATGTCTTCTGAGAAACCCCAACCCTCAGTAAATCATCTACCCCATCTCAGGCTCTGCTTTAAGGAAACCTGACCATCCACTGTTTCTTTAAGAAACTAACACAGGCAACAGGGATCCACTCAGCAAACAGTCTGAAGGCCCACTATGTGTGGGGCACTCTTCCAGGCACAATGCCTGTGAACCCACTGACCACAGGCTAGTGGGAGGAATTCAATAAATACACCCATATCTACTATGAAATCAGCTGGCCACGGCCCCATGGAGAAAATTAACTCAGGGTAAAAACTGGAGCTGAAGGGAAGTGGGTGGTCCTTTAGACAGAGCGTCAGGGAAGGTTTCCTTGGAAGAGACACTGAAGCAAAGGCTAAAACAGACTGAAAGGGGGTCTGGGGGAATGTCTAGGGAAGAGCCTTCTGAGTAACGCTGAGGGGGAGGATTATTAATGTCCCCAGGCAAATGCTGCAAATCACACTGCCATTATGTTATTGCCTTTAGTATCTACTTTGAGGGTTGGAGCAGAACAACACACCTGTGCCAGGTGTACAGCACAGTGCCAGACCCCCACAGGTGGTCAGTCGTGATGCTCTACTGTTTATAGTCTTGCCAGTGAAATCACCTTCAGCAGCCAGGACACACTCTCACTGTGACTCCTGCTTAGAGGTCAAATGCCATCATGGTCATAATAAGTCCCCACACTGTCATGGGATGATTCCTCTGCCAAACGTTCGGTGATTTTCAGTTAAAAAGATGCTCCCTTTTTATTGAATTGCTCTTCCCAAGTTGAATATCCAGGCCAGAGATGTCACTGTTCTCCAGGGGGAGTGCAGAGGTACTGGGGCCTGTTATGGGAGATTTACTGATGGTCAAAGACACACTTGCCCATTGGGAAACATCAAACCAGTAGAGAAGGAAGGGAAACAGACATTGACTTTCTGAGAAAACCCAGGTTGTATTGAAGAATATTCCTCAGATGATTGTTTATAATAAGAGATAATGACTTGGTAATGAAATATGTGACAACTGTGATCACGGAAGAGGGAGATCTTTTGTGGTTAGCAGAAGCCTGAGGCCCCCATCCAATCAATACTTAGGAAGTATCATTAACATTCAGGAGCAGAGGGTGCCCTTTAATATGCAACAAATTCTGTTTTAGTAAGAAATCTCCAGCTCCCCAGGATTGTTAAGAAATTATTGGAGAAATTCTTCCAGTATGATTTGGTCAAAGGCTTAAAGACAAAGGACCTCAAATTACAGAGAAAAGGATGAGACCCACTCTTTCTCTATAGCACTCAGCACCCTGGGCCCTCGACCCTATAGCACAGGCTGGTATCTTGCGGGCTGCCTTTCACTGGCCCTAAGGAGGAAGACACGCTCTGAAGCTTGTTCTATGTTGTAGGACATGTTAAAAGCCCAGATATGTTAGAGTTGCTGGGACGGCAATAATGGTGACATTTTACACTAATTCGAACTTGGCATGTGAGCTGGCTGCTGCAGGATGATTTACTGCACCAGGGCAACTGAGATGCAGTGGGTCCCATGCACATTTCCAGAGGTGCCCAGAAGAAACTGCCACCAACAGGGAAAATGAAATGAGAGGGCTGAGTACCAGGAGACCTGTGCTCATCAGTGCCAGCTATGTGCTCCTCATCAGTCTACAGTGGTTACAGGAACAGAAAATGCTTATACTAAGTGGGAATCCACAAGGATAAAAGAGATCCTAACATGATGATGATGGGCACCCTCTCTAAGGAAGCGTTTGTAAGGGAAGTAACCGCATCACGTGCGAGTTCCCACACTTGCCCTAGGTGTTACTTCCTTTGTTGAGTCAGACTTAGTTTCAGAGCAACTGAGAACAAAGAAGAAGCTCATTTCAGTTCTAACCTTATAAATAAAATTAGTAAATTGAGATTTAACTCTCAAACTGGCACATGCTCTTTGGCCCAAAAAACTAAAAGAAAGTGTCAGTTTAAGAAATGATTTAGTTTATCCCAAAGAAATACAATCTGTTCAAATGGGTGGGAACGCCAGCATCACATGGACCCCCACTTCCGAAGCAGCATCTATCTCTGAAGGTGATTTATTTGAATGGAGAGCATAGATTAATAAAAAAATGATTTTTTATATCTCATCTCTACCTTTTTATACTTTTTATATCTCATCTCTACCTTAAAATAAAATAAAAAATGCTTTATATTAAAAAACTGTTTCCAAACAACAGTTAAAGCCAAAAAACGTATATATTGACGGCATCTCATACTGCATGAATATTACCCAGTTTTGTCTATTGATAACATTATTGATTTCATCCATTGAGAGAGCATTTTCCCTAATGGACTTTGATCATTATTTCCCATGTGAAAAGTGATAGGCAAAGAATAGTCTATCAACACTGAAACCAGTTAAAGTGTTTTCTTCTCTTTCTACATTGCTCGTAAAAATCTAAAAGCAAATTCCAAAAATCTGGTATGACCTATGTAAATTATATAAAACAGTAAAAAAATCAGGAGGTACTAAGAATTTCAATGTACAAATACATTTTCAATGTTGTGTTTGCATTTACGCAAAACTCATCTAAGAGATTCATTCTTTTCATCTTATTTCAAACTTTCCTTTTTTCCTTCTTCTTTGAAACTGGTTTTACTAAACTGTACATATGCACGCTGAGATCTGGGGAGAGCCCGCTGACTTCTGTAGCTCAATTCTCCCATGTTCCCGGGGAAAAGAGGAGGAGGAAGCTGTTAGTGAAAAACAGTTACCCAAAGTGCGAGAAGTAATTCTGATGGGGCTGGGTTTGTGCACCTGGGAGTGCATTTTTGGCTCTTTTGCTGCCAACAGTTTAGTGGCAGGAAAGCCTGCTACTCCACAGCCTCGATTTCACAAAGCCAACTCCTGTGTTTTTATCCAGTTAATTAAATGATATTTGTAAGGCCTGGAAAAAAGTGCAGGCTCGGCATGAGGCATTTATTATGATAAGTCAAGTTAGTGCCAAAGAGGCATCTCTATTCATCCTGAAAGCAAGGAGTGACATTTGCTAAGATGCCAAATGTGATGCTGGCAGTTTCAAGAAATACACTCACACCCCAACAGTGAGCCTCTAGGGACTTGGCAAATGCACGGCCCAACTTTCAGCTGAAACATCTACATCAGCTTCCCAAACAGAATCCCCACCTGTCCTGTGGTTTCCTTATGTCTCCAGAGCTCTGCCTCTTCTGAGAACCTCAGCACCCCGGGCCCTTGACCCCGTACAAAGCCCCTGTTCCAAATACATACACATAACCAAGCCATTGACAAGCAAGACCAAAGGGTGGACAGAGGTCAAAGGCTCTCAAACTCCTGCAGCATCATGCATTTCAGCACTGACTTTCAACACCATTTGACCCTGGATGGAGCTGTAAGAAACAGAAGCCCTTTTTCTGAGGCATCTGGAAAGAAATTTTCCCCAGCCTGCTAGGAGAAAAGATGAAAGGTTTTTAAGCAGTATAGTTGTTTGTCATTGTTAATGAACATTTCCTTTTTGTAATATTTTAATTACCGCAAATTTTGCATGAAGGATTTAAAAAAATCTGGATGAATTGTAAAATATACAAATAGTTATGTATGTGTCTTTCCATGTGTGTATATATGTGTGTGTGTATGTGTATCTATGTGTGTATGTACATGGATATATGTACAGTTTGACTGTGTACGAGCTGCCAGGGTTCAGAACACGATACTGCAAAATATGGCACCTTGAGAATTGAGAAAGCTGCAGAAACAAGAGGGTCATTCAGACCATCCCTCACTTGGGTATGCAAAAGCTGGCCATAAAGGAATTTTCTGACCAACATCACCTGAAAGTAGTTCATAAGGCCCTCATGTGACAGGTGTCCTGGCCCATTTGCTGGTGTCCATTCCTGGAGGGAAGAGAGGATACACAGACCTAGAAGAATTGAACGCAAAGTCCTTACTAAGTTTCCCATTGATTGTCATTAGGCCACGCTCCCTTTTTGTCTAGTCATACTTCTACAGGGCCGCGCAGTTTTCCTGGGTCCTCAGCTCTTCATCTGAAGGCTCTTGTAACATGTAAAACTTTGATTAAATAAATGAATATGCTTTTCTCTTGCTAATCTATCTTTTATTACAGGGTTGTTAGCTGTGACCCTTGTGAAGGGTGAGGAAATTATACTACTTTCTCTCTCCTACGGTAAAATGCTGAAATTCAAAAGGGGATATTTGGGGGTAAAATAATTAGACAACTGAAAATTTCAATATTTATTTCCATGCTAAAAATAATGTTACCAATGCTTAAAAGATAAATTTATTCTGGAAAATGGGGTCACTTTATTTCTGAAGTAATGTTCAGCAAAAGGAGAAGAAAATTTGAAAGCCATGTGGAGAAAGATCACTATGACCCTGGTGGTCCCATCAACATTCCTAACATGGGTACTTTCTAGGACAAAATTCTTATGTCACATATTTCACAATATTATTACTCAATGTTTCATCCCCCATTGGCTTAAATATTTTAGAGGGAGATATCTGAATATTTAAATGTTTCAGCTTTGCTCTGCTTTGTGCACATGTACCCTAAAACTTAAAGTATAATAATAATAAAATTTTTAAAAAATGCACTTAAGCTACATGTTGACTTAACTTACAACACAAGCCCCAGTTTTTCCATGCATTTCCTATAGCACACTAGCACAAATCTGCAATGGATATTTTAGCATAGCCTTTTCACCATTCATTTAAAGTTGTCCCTTACAGAAGAACAAAAGATAGGTGTTACATTTTACAGCTATGGTTTTAATGGAAAATATAATTTCTGAGTTTATAAAGCATTTGTCATATCAATTTGAAGCCTGAAATAGAGAACTGAAAATACGTTATAGCATGATTTGGCTGGATAAAAACAGTTGTCCAGGCTGGGCACCCTGGCTCACATCTGTAATCCTAGCACTTTGGGAGGCCTACGTGGGAGGATCACTGGAGCCCAGCAGTTCGAGATCAGCCTGGCAACATGGAAAAATCCCACCTCTACAAAAAATACAAAAAATTAGCTGGGCATGGTGGCACGCACCTGTAGTCCCAGCTATTCAGGAGGCTGAAGTGGGAGGATCGCTGGAACCCAGGAAGTTGAGGCTGCAATAAGCCATGATAGTGCCACTGCACTCCAGCCTGGGTGACAGGAACCTGCTTCAAAACAAACAAGCAAACAAACAAATAAAAAATTTCCAGTTTTGTGTAAGGTTCAGATAAAACAGCCCTTTGTGGTTGTTGCTATTGGCCTGGATAGTTCTCTGATGGATAGAGACTTTACTGTGATCCCAATATCCCAACATTAGGAAGGTAATTTTCTAAAAGAGGTAAAAAAGAATATCGAGCAAAATGCACAAAAGCAGACTTTTAAAAATAAGATTTGTCAAGCTTAAGAACACTTAACTGTACTCCAGCCAAAATCAGAAAATGCTTTGCTTTTTTTTCCCAAGTATCCACAGAATATTCATCAAGGTAGACCACATCTTGCTCCATGAAAATAGTCTAAACAAATTTTTAAAAGCTGGAATGAGAGAGGAGAGAAATCAATAACAGAATGACAGCAGGGAAATTTTCAAATATTTGGGAATTTAATAACACACATAATAATCCATGGGTCAAAAACGGAGTCAATGGAAATTTAAAAATGCATATATCTAAATGAAAATGAAAACCCACGTATCACAATATAGGAGATTCAGGTAATGCAGTTCCGAGAGGAAAATGTATAGCACAAAATATTCACATTAAAAATGAAGAAAGGTCTCAAATCAGTAACTTAAGTTCCTACCTCAAGAACCTAGAAAGAGATCAAAATGCACTCAAAGCAAGAAGGAAGGAAATAATGAAGTGCAGAAATCAATTAAATTGAAAATAGAAAAACAACAGGGAAGTCCATTGAGACAAAGAGCTGGTTCTTTTAAAAAACCAAAAGTTAGTAAACTTCTAACACGACTGACAAAAAAAGAGACAAATGCAAATCACCAATAATAGAAATAAAATAGGGAATATCACTACAAAGTCTGCAGCCACTAAGAAGATATTAAAGGAATGTCATAAAGAGGTTTAAATTCATAAACTTAACAACTTACAAGAAATTAATCACCTTCTGATAAAACTACCAAACCTCACTCAATCTGAATAGCTCTGTATCCATTAAAGTAATTGGATTTATAATTATAAGCCTTCTGACAAAGACAGTTTCAGGCTCTGATAGTTTCATTAAATAATTCTATCAACATTTAGAGGTAAGTTGATATGAATTATATACAATCTTTACCAGAAATTAGAAGAAGGAACACTTCCCAACTAATTTCTGAGATTGGTGTTACCCTGATATCAAAACCACACAATGGTACCAGAAAAGAACTTAAATGCAAAAATCCTCCAAAAAATATTAGCATACTGAATCCAGCTGCATAGGAATACAATTATATTTTATGACCAAAAAGGAATTTACTCCAGATCTGCAAGATAGTTCAACATTCAAATTCAATTAATGTAATCCACCATAGCAACATGCTAGTAGTATAGTAAGAAATCATACAACCCTACTGATGGACTCAGAAAAAGCGTCTGACAAAATCCAACATCCATCCATTTAAAAATACATACATATATACATTGGCAAGTTAGTAATAGTGGGAAATTACTTCCAGTTTTATATAAAACCATCTACAAAAAATCCTACAGCTAGCATCGTACTTAATGATGAAACACTTAATGCTTTCCTCCTTCAATCATAAATACAGCAAGGATTTATACCTTTATCAGTCTTATTCAACATAATGCTGGAGGCTCTAGACACTGAAACAAGGCAAGAAACAATAAAATTCATACATATTGCAAAGGAGGAAGTACTCTATTTGTAGATAACATGATTTCTATGTATTTAAAAAAAGAAATCATTTTTTAAAAAGTGCCTATCACCAATAAGTGAGTGAGTTACTGTGGCTGCAGGATACAAGATTAACACACAGAAATCACTTTTATTTCTATGTACTAACAAGAAGCATGAAGAAATCTAACTTAAAAATACAATATCTTTTAAAATCACTCCAAAGAAAGAAAAGTACTTAGGCAAAAAATTAACAAAATAGGTACAGGATCTGTATGTTGAAAAATACCAAATATTCGTTAAAGAAATAAAATACATAAATAAGTAGAGAAACTTTTCTGTTCATGGATTGGAAGACTCAACATAGTAAAGATTGCATTCCAGAGAATTATGTTGAGTGAAAAAACCCAGTGCCAAAAGGTTACATACTGTATGATTTTACTTATGTAATGCTATTGTTTATTGCTTATATAATGTATTTACTTATATATCATATATAAGTAAATTACTTACATAGCATATTTTACTTATATAACATTATTGAAATGGCAAAATTTTAGATATGTAGATTAGTGGTTCCCATGGGCCATGAACAGGGGAAATGGGAATGTTTGTGTGGTTATAAGATGGAGTATGAAGGATGCCTGTAATGCTGGGACTGTTTCTTATCTCCACTGTGCTGTTGGATACCTAAACCTACAAAGGCAATAACACTGTATAGAACTTAAATGAGTTCAAGAAAAATTGGGGAAACCTGAATAAGATTTGCAAGTTGCATCAGTATCATTATCTTGGATGAGATATTTACTAAAAGTTTTATATGATGTTACCATTGGGAAAACATATGGGAGGGATGTCTCAGAATTATTTCTTAAAATTGCATGTAGAGCTATAATTATCTTAAGAAAATTTCAATTAAAAATGCTTACTGTCTAAGTGTAAAAATAAGACAAAAAAATCAATTTTTCTCCTTGCATTGATGCTTTCTATTTTTCACACTTTCCGGTTAGATTTTAAGGATACTTATATTCTGGGAATTTAACTTCGCCAGTGTGCAATACAAAAGAGCTACCAAATCGATTTTTCCTTTTCTTGGTATGCATAGTGTTTTCTAGGGTTTGCTAGGTATCGTCTTCTGGAAGTTTCTTCCAGTTTCCTTCTTGCTTTCTCTCAAAGGCAACCCACCTGTGTGCTTAAGCGCCAGTTCTTTGTTGTGCCAGCTGCTTCTTAATTCCTGTTCTCTGGCCTCTAATACAGCAACTCTTGACCCTGGAGATGGTGGTTGGCCATTTTCATTTTTTCCAGGTCATGTGGTTTTCATTTAGCCTCTGAGCTTCCCTCTGAGTGGCCATGGAATTCAAGCCAGGTGCCCTCTCAAGAGGCTTGCTGGTGCTTCTCTCAGGGGGAGTTTAAACTTTCCATTCCTGTGGGAAGGGAAGGGCTTTTATACACATTTTTTTGGCTCAGGTTATTTATCAAGATTGATAATTTGGATATCTCAGTCATAAAATGGCAGAAAATCCAGGCAGATGCATGACACCCAGAAAACTGGACTTCAAGACTTATTAATTTATATTTTCCCACCATTTTGGTTTAGATATTATGGACATAGTACCTAATGGTTTTACATTGACTAGCCAAAAGGAGGTGATATAATCCATGATATATAATAGGCAGAAAATATTTAGAACTGAAAAATATTCGGTATAATCCTATTATGCTCAAGAACATCCATACCAACCAAATCTGAGAACATTTGACAGTCACTGTTGATCTCACTAACTAGTTTATTATCCAGCTCTTCAGTATTCACACACAGCTACACATGCACACACAAACACACACATATATATATATGTTTATGTGTATGTGTTGTATGGTAAAAGCATCTCTGCACCCCCACACAGAACAGGGCACACATGCCAATCTCCAAGACCGTTAGCCCCCTTGAGGTCACTTTATGGTCACCAGGACTACTGGGATCTGGTGACATCCCTTGAGTGGAGAAACTTGTGAAGGTATCTGGACCACCACTTTTGAGTAGCTTATTATTTCCATCCATGGGAGGTTGTGGGGGTCCAACCCGCAGACCTTGACCCAGCAACAGATGAGAGACATACACTGACACAGGTATTTTGCCTGTCAGTCCTGATAAGGGGCTCTGCTCTGAGTTTGCAGCATCACCTTGATAAGCCAGCAAAGTTTGCATTTATTTAGTACAGATTTAATGACAAAGACTTTGAGTCAACACGCCTGTGGGTAATTAATCTTGTTACCCTCCCCTGGAGAGAGCAGTCCTATAGATGATCAAAGGTTTGTCTTAGGACCACATGAATAAACAAGCTATTTAGATAAACCCCCTTTACATTCCTTTGTTATTTACCCTTGCTATTAGCTCAAAGACGATTAAGCTGCTTTCAGCCGTAATCTTTCCCCGAGGCTTTTGCAAAACCTTCTGGTCTTCTGAGAAGGTTTGTGTCTATTTTACAATTTCTCCCACCATCCTCACTGCATCCCCACAGGAGACTGGGGGGTTGTGCTTTTGTTGGTACTTTCCTCTTGGCCAACAGGTGTGCCTTGGTGGAACCATTCCTGGACTGGTCTCTCCTGGCTTCCTTCGTGCTTTACGGAACCAGTGAGTTGGTCTTTATATTCCCGATTTATGCTCTCTATATCATTCCCGCCTCTTTAAGAAAATTTCAATTAAAAAATGCTTACTGTCTACGTGTAAAAATAAGACAAAACAAAAATATTTGGTGCTTATCACTACTTGGTTCAAATTTGACCTTGAAGTTTTCTTTACTCAGGGTAAGAACACTCCTCCTCTTGGTCTTCTGACAGGTTCACTAATCATCATGTCTAACTCAAGGGTCCTCTGCAATAAGAACCATTTGAGCTTAAGGTTTGAACCTGGATAGACACCACCATGTCTTTCAATGATGAGACAATAAATGGAAAATCCTTGGAATCATAAATGTCTAAAGGTGTCACCAAACCATCACTGAACAAAGTTCAAGAACTTACTATTGCTTCCTAAGGAAAATGAAACCAAAGTATTATGTTATAATCAGGTTCCTACAAATCAAAAATATAAAATGATTTATAATGAAATGTTCTCTGATTATACAGTCTGAGAAAAATAGACATTTATATTTTATAATCTTGAACAGTTCTTGTTATTCCTTGAACTGGCATCAATAATGTGCTGTAGCCTCTCTGGTATGAGGAACAAATAATAGACTTTAATAAATGCATGAAAGTGTAAATTAATTTATTGCATGCGTACAACAGAATTTGACTTTGACCTTTTTAAAAACATTTATAAAGATCAGGCAATTTATCTGAATCAATTTCAGGTGCAACTAATCAGGTGTTCAAGATAATATTACTTTGAATGCTCTTCATTAGGAAGCTGGTGCTGATGAAGCAAAACAGGCACTGGCAGGAAGGACACAGGAAGATGTATTATGAGGCTGGCTGGTCTGAATGGCACAGTGGCCCTGGTATCTTCAAAAATGATTTGTGCAAGTTTAAAGACGAGAGAGAGTTTCAGAGTTGACAATAATTGCTGTAAACAGTAGCAATTTAGTATCTATTAGCCATGCTTGTTCAAGTAGCTGAAATGGAATTTCTAAGCATTGCAAACCAACTGCTTTGGCAAAAGCAAAAACATGTGATCCTTTGGTCATGATCTAGCAGCAGGCTGTGCCTAGCACAGATAAGCCCAGGGCAAAGCAAATGGTGTATGGGGATACGGTCGGCGTGGAAAAGCACATAAGAGGAAATGTGTCTAAGCCACTGAATACTTTTCTCAGAGACAGAGCAGCCTGGATAAGAAGCAAGAAGCTTCAAGAATCCCCAGTCCTAGGCATGAGGGCTGTCCTGCTCTCCTTCGCAGGATGTGCTAACTGAGAGAGAAGTCATCTCCACTGACCAGGGATGCAGGGCCCCTGGAACGCTCACCTGCTGTGGGGAATGAAGAACATCCAGGGCAGTGGCTGTGGAGACTATGGCCCTTTTGTCTGCTGGTTGAGGCTGCAGGGAGAGAGACATGCCAGCCATGAGCTGCACTCCCAGCTCTGCGATGGTGACTCAGTCATCCAGGACAATCACCGTCTTCTCAGCCAGGATGGAGTCCAAGAGTGGCAAGAAGACCTGAAATGTAGGCGAGGAGGCTCATGCATCTCTGTTCCTCATAAGCACCATGAATCCCTTAACTTAGGGCTCCCAACAAAGTGCTCTCCCAGCCCTCAGCTCAATGCATATGCTTGTGGGAATTCCTTAGGAAAGTGTTATGCTACGATTCCATTACACTTGCCAATTTAAAAGGGAGTTCAGAAAGTATCATCTTGGTCCATTTTCTTTCCTTATTGGTAAAAATATATGATAACAATAACAGTACATTTTCTGAGAACTTCATTTAATTAAGGGACAATAACTCAAAACAGCCCATTTAGAAATACTGAATGCTCAAAGAATAACATTTTCCCATCAACTGGGATTAATGTTTCAAAAATTGCAGAATTGCAATAAACTGTTTAAAGGAATGGTGTTCATATCTCTTCTGCTCATAGTCCATCCAGCAGGCAGGTAGATGTTTACTATGGGACAGTAATGATCATTGTGTGGGCTGCTGCACCATCACCTTTGTTGGCAGAGGCCTTCTAGTCTGTACAGAAGCAGCTTCCTGAGCTTATGGTCCTAAGGTTGCCAGAGGACCCCCTCCATCCACCATCCTGCCCTAATCAAAAATCACTGCTCTCTGAGCTAAGCTACTTGTATTACTGCTAAGACATCTGAAATGTGTCTCTCGTGTTGCCTATCTTGGTTTCTCTCTTCCTTCCTCGGGGTTCCAGCCCTTCCTCTCACTCTGGCACATGCTCTACTCTGACCTTCACCTGTCCAGAACCCACCCTGAAACAGCCTCTCTGGCTCTGCAACTCCAGAAACTTCCCCTCAAGAAGTAGCTGTCCTGTGTCCCTTTATGAGAACACTTTGTTTGGTTGCCACTGCCTAGTCTGTGTGTTTAGTAGCTGGGGATTGTGGCAGGGGAGAAAGAGGAGTGACTCATGGGTCCTGAGTGAGACCTGTTGGGTGCCCTGCTGCATGTGCTCATGGGAGAAAGAGAGCTGACATCAACTTCCCCAGCAGCACAGGACAGCCATGCATGTTCAACCCACGTAAGCTTCACAGAACTTCAAAGAGTGTGGTTGAATTATTTCTCTGATATTACCGATAAGGAAACCAAGGCATGGCAGAGAGAGGCCACCCATCCAGGGCCACACAGCTGGTCATCTGCAGAAGCAGGGTCTGTGCCCACGTAGACCACCTGTTGTGACCTCTTCCTTTCTATAGCTAAATCCATTCGTCTTCTCAACAGGTATGAAATACATCCTTATTTTTGCATGAAGAAACCAAGGCTCAGAGAGGCTTATGGGTGGCCCAGATAATTGTGAATTAGCACATTGGGATCCAGCTCCATTTCACTTTTGAAACCCAACTTCTTTACAATATGCTGTTCTGCCTCCCTGTAAGGTCTGAGAATTACACTTACCTGGAAGGGAAGATACCATGATCATGAAGGTGGTTTTCCCAGGGCGAGGCTTGTCTATTGCACACTTCGAGAACCATTTACTTGTATTACTGCTAAAACATCTGAAATGTGTCTTTCCTGTTGCCAATCATGGCTTCTTTCTTCCTTCCTTAGAGCTGCAGCTCTAAGTGATAGGAAAATTTTCGCCAGCATAGTAAGAGCAATTTGGGTTTCCCAAAGTGCAAGGTGAATATTTCAATGGGTAAAACAAATAATTTTCAATGAAAAAATTATAGGTAGCAGGAACATAGCATTTAAAAACAGAAGGAAAAGTTATGAGCTCAATCCTTTCCATGATATTAGGAGAAATTCTCTGTTCAGTGCTGGAATGTCTTCAACAGTTCTCTGACCCTTGCTGTTCTTCATTAGTTAATAAAGACAAACTCATAGACATAGGCAGACCATAGTATCTACTCAGATTTTTAATAGTATCAGTTTATTTTTTCCAAATTCATTTTTATTTGACTTTTTACTACATGGTGGATTGTACTATTTTTTGTGTGTCAGTAAGATGAAGCACCCTAATTTAAGTAAGGATTAAAGAGCTTAACAGGAACAATAATAAAGGTGGCATTTGAAAAAGGAAGTATCTTGAAAGTGGTACGTGGATAAATGAAGTTTTAGAGCTGCCATATAAATGGAAGTAAAACAGGTTGGATTAGTCTGTTCTGATTCTGCTAATAAAGATATAGCCAAGACTGGGTAATTTATAAAGAAAAGAGGTTTAATCGACACACAGTTCCATGGCTGTGTGGCCAGAGAGTCCTCACAATCATGGCAGAAGGTGAAGGAAGAGCAAAGTCACATCTCACATGGCAGCAGGCAAGAGATCTTATGTAGGGGAACTCCCCTTTATAAAACCAGATCTCATGAGACCAGATCTCCCCTTTATAAAACTACCAGATCTCATGAGACTTCTCCACTATCATGAGAACAGCACAGGAAAGACCCACCCCTATGATTCAATTACCTCCCACTGGATCCCTCCCACAACACGTGGGAATTATGAGAGCTACAATTCAAGATGAGATTTGGGTAGGGACACAGCCAAATCATATCAGAGGTCTATTTTAAGACATATTATACCATATTCAATATCATATCTTTGTTTTGTACCCTAACTCTGTAGACACCTGTGAACTCTATGTCACTTTTATTCACCTTTGCATCTCCAAGGCCTATAGCACTAGGCGGAAATACACTTAAAAATATGTTTAACTATTTTAACTATCTTGCATTGTTGTGATATTTTTGCAGTGTGACATCCATCTTAAAAAGCAAAATGTGCACAATCTTCCTCCAAATGTGCCATTCTCAGTGGTTCCTTTGCCTTTAGAGGCGAAAGCTTCATTCGTACAAACCAGACTTCCCTCTCTGTTTCATTAATGGACTTAGAGGCTTCCTGTTCAGTAACCAGCAATGAAAAATTACTTTTAATTACTTCTTCTAACCCAGGAAAGGCATGCCATTTTTCAGTTACCAGGTATAGATGGCAATAGAGAGAGATGAGAGATGTGGAGCAAAAACTCTCATACAACCCATTCCCCACCTACCACGGCCCAGCCCAGGGAGGAAGCACAGCTTCAGGGCTCTGGCTGCAATGTACAGGCAACAGGAATATGAAAAGAGGTGCACGGACACAGGTGGTCCCAAGAGAGGGTGATGGAGACCCGTGCTGTCCTCCCAGCCCCATATATGTGCAGGGCACTCCTGGCGTCTGTGGGCTGCCACCCGGATCCAGCAAACATTCTTCTTGAAGGCCCAAAGAACTTTGCTTCCTCCTCTTTATCATGAACTGATCAATAGATATTTTCCATGAGCCCTACTGAGTGCCAGGCCAGGTTCTATGCTCTGGGGAAGCAGTAGTGAGTGAAACAGATTTGTCCTCTGTGCCTGGGAAGCTTATATTTTAGAAAACGGGAGGGAGATATTACAAAAATATTAAAACATAATAATAGTTATAATTTCATGTGTGTTTAATGGGTTCCTCACTTCTATTCTCCCCTTTTCTTGGAAGGCTGAATATTGGCAAACTCACTATTTTTAACCTGAAGAGCTGACCTTGCAATGTGGTTTCCTGCCCATTCTATTATTAATAGAATCTTGAACCAAAGCAAGTAGAATCACGTGTGTGAAAGGCCTGATCTCCTACTCAAAACCATCCAGGAATTAAACAGCATGGATGATATCTCAGTTCAAGTTCCTTGCGTGTGAGGGGGGATTGAAGAAGCTGCCAACAGAGGGACCATCAGCTACTTGGGTCCTTCCTGTGATGTCCCTGAGAGCAGAGGCATGGTGGTGGTGTGGGGAGGTTAGGGGAGCTTTGTAGTTGCCTCTGCCACTGGATGCAGACACCTCAGGCATGGTAGGATTCCTCTGAGCCTCAGGCTCTGCATCTGGAATAGAGGGTATTCATTCTCAGCTTCACAAAGCTACTATCTAAGCATCAAATCAGAGCAATTTGGAAACGGTGAAGGGCGGACCACATCTCAGTGACATGACTGTGTTTTGCTTTGAGTGGGGTAAAGGGAAAGCAAGCTTTTAACAGGAAAAGTGGAATAAAATGCTCAGGAACACCTAAGGAACAAACCCACCCTGGAACACACAGTGGCTGTGAAATAATGAGGTTGCTTTCTAGGCCGTGGCATGGAAAGCCTCCGGGATTTACTGTGGAATGAGAAAACCGAACAAGAGCAGCATGGTGTATACAGCGTACTCCATTCAGTGCAAGAATGAAAAAGGAAAAGGTATAATAGTGTGCATTATTATTTTATTTTATTTTATTTAAAAAAAACAAGAAGAAAAATGAAAAAATACTACAGATAGAATTGGAAGGAAATTGCTGGAAGTAGATAGGGTGAGGATAAACTTTTCAATGTATACTTTTTATGTTGTTTGATTTTGGACTAAGTTATTATGTTTCTTTTTTCAAAAAATAAAATAAGTTTTAAACATTGAGCAATGTTTTTCTTCTCTGGTATCCTTCCATCTTGAGCAGTTTCTGCAGTACTTCAGAAACAGAACATAGAGAGAATTTAATTTCCTGGACTCTTTAGATCAGGAAACTTAACTTGACTTTCTTCCTATTGAGGATATCAAGATATTTGGGTATGTTAATCTACTGCCATCTTCAGAAGCTTTCCCTTCAAGGAGAAAATGCCTTTCAGCTTAAGCAACAAAATATTTGCTTAGGTGTATTATTAATATACCACTCTGGAAGCAAAGTTTTCTGAATAATTCAAAGATTGTTGAGCAGAGAAAACCTGTCATCCTGTAATCAGTGTTTTATCTTATATTTTCACCAGCCCTTGAAATTACTCTTCAGTGACGCTTACTGGCACAATCTGCTACAAGAAACAGCTAGACGTTTTTGACTGTACAGCTTAGTTTTGGGCTTCTGTCCTCTGCAAGAAAAAGAAAACATCACTGAAACAAACACTGGTGATCTGGAAAGAAGCCAAAGCATGATATAAATAACCTGCTTGAGGCTGATCAGGCCCCATAACCCTCAAATGCCACCTTCTTCTCAGTGGCCGATGAAGTCTCAAAAGGTCTTTAACGACACCATCAGTTAGTTCCTCTTCTGTCTCCTCCTCTTTCTCCTTTCTTCTCATTCCCCCTTCTTACTCTTTCCCTTCCTCCTCCTCCATCTTCATCATCTTCTTTTTCTTCTCCTTGTTCTTACCCAAGACAAGGAAGAGGAAGAATGATTTTGGTGGAGAGGTAGCTGTTCTGTCATAGGTATGATCATCTATCTATAATTTGAGTGCTTTTTTGTTTATTGTTTGTTTTTAAATGGGCCTCCTTTGCCAAATGTGCTGCCTTGCTTTGGCTTACATTCCCTAGCACCCCGTGCATGTAGACATAGTCACATGAGACATGTTAACCGATAGAATTGGAGAAATATAAAAATAATTCATGTAATTCCTGCTGCCTCTGGACCAAAAGATTTTAAGAAGTAGTTTTGCCTCCTCCATGCTCTCTTTACCAGACCCAGACAACGATAAAGCCCAAGATGATGGCAGAGCCTGAGGATGGAAGGCTCTTGGGGCCTCTGGGGCTCTGCAGCCATTGAGGAGAGTTACCTCATACTCAGGAATGCCCACTGTGGACTACCAAGTAAGCTGGAAAAAACCTGTGCTATGTTTGATCTATAATACATCAGGAATATATTTGATTCAGTATTTTAGCATACTTGCAATAATACAATAGTAATTTCTAGAAATTTTCAATAATTTTTTAGTGCTTACTTTTTGCCAGGTATGATTTTAAGTGCTTCGCAGATATATTTCATTGAATTCTCTGGACAACTAGGAAGTATAATTCTCATCCTCAATTTGTAGGTGAGGAAACTGAGAAACAGAAGTTAAATAACAAGTCTGGAGTCATGCAGGTATAAGGGTCAGAGCCAGGAGTAACACCAGGCAGTCTGACTCCAGACTCCACACCCTCACCCAATGTACTGAAGTCTATGGACTTTGGTTGGCATCCACAAATAGCTGAAAATGAATAACACAGGAAAGAACAATAGGGAAATTAGAATAAAAGTAACTACAGCTGTCGTCTAAAGGCCCGGTTTTGTGCTCAGTGCTTCTAAGTATTGCATTATTTTACTTAAACTTAATAACCATCCTATGAGATAGACACGATTATTCTTCCCATTTTAATTTTTTCACATCAAAGTGCTAGTAAATATGCAAGTCAGATCCATCTGACCAAGCCCAGACCATTGTTAACTATTGTGGATTATTCTTTCCTAGGGTCTGAGCCCCGGAGAGCCAGTTTTATCCCATTTATAAAGAGTTCTAAAGGTTCTGAGTCCCAGGAGCATCAGATCCACAGTCTCCTCTCTGGTTTCTCAGCTTCTGTTGGAGGCCACTAAAATTCTCCAGCCCTTGTTGTAGCTCACTCCATGTTCCAGATCTCAATCTGCCAAAGGAGTCTCGGCGTCCAGATGGTGGCCTCATACTGAGAGGGAAGGTGCTGCAGGTGAAGGTCACCATGTGCCTCATTTCCTTCCCATTCATAAAATGGATTCACAGTTGCTAGAAACCTTTGGGGAGGAGGTAGAACCTTGAGATACATCAACAGGAAAAGCACCAGCAAAAATTGAAAATAGTGAAAGTTCATGAGACACAATAGTTCTGATTTATAAGACACCAAGACAACCAGAAGAACAGGACTTGTACAAAAGGTAATTTGTAGGCACTGATTAGTGACAAATACTAAAAAGTATTTGTCTTACCAAGAAAACTATTTGGTATTACAAAATACTGACAAGTAAAACCATACATATAATTTCATAAAGTAACATAAGCTTTGTTGCCACATATGTGTTTGCGTGTGTGTGTGTGTGTGTGTGTGTGTTCTTTAACAGGTCTGCTCAACCTACTGTTAATCAAACAAAAATTCTTGTACCATATTGGAAAATATATAAAAGGTGGCCATGTGTTACCAAAAAATCACTTTATTCAACCCATAAAGGGGATCACTTTTTTGTTAATCATGAGAGCTTTGCACTAGATTAAAATCTTGATAAGAAAATATTCACAAAATGCACTGGAAATATCAATGTTTTGCCCCCATTAAACTGTAATCTTGTGGAAAAGAAGTGAGACTGTGGTATTTCATTACATTCTCTTTATTCGGGACTTAGGATTAGCCTCTTTAACGTGCGTAAGTAGGCAGGTTAAGTATTAGACAATTTAAGCCTCCATTTCACTTCACATCTTCCAGATAAGCTATTAAAATATTGCTGAATTTCTCTCCTGGACCATCAGGAAAATGCATTTATGTGTGTAGAAGGAAAGAGGAAGGAGGATGCAAAATAAGCCATCAATTCACCACAGATTCATAAAACTGTAAGGGGCCCGCAATGTCATTTTACAGATGAAGAAACTGAAGCCAGCGAGGTGGCATAGCTGGCTCAAGATCACACACATCGTTGACGGGTGCAACGTCAGACTGGTTGCTGGCTGAGTTCTCCATCTCAGCAAGTGGTGCCGCCATGCAGCCTCTTTAGCAAGCTGCAAACTGGGACTGTTCTTGATGTTTCTCTTCCTCACCCAAGTGTCTATTTACAGCTCAGACCTCCCTTCTGAGCTCCAGATGCATGTGCCTCTTGACATCATCAGATGAAAGGCTCAATAGTTTCTTAGCGGCCAAACATACAAAATCAAACTCACGATCTCCTATTTCCCCCACAGCACAGTCTTCCATCTCAATAACTAACATTGCCTTTTATCCAGCAGAACAAATTGAACATCACGATGTCTTCTTTAATTCCACCCATGTTCTTCACCACCGACATGCAACACTTCAAGTTCTCTTGGTTTTACTCCTAGGTGTCTTTTGTGCCTACGAATTTCTCTTCGCTGCTATTATACTAGCCCAGACCTCCATCACTTCCCACCTGGACATTTGCCACAACTTCAAAACTGCTCTCTTCACATCCCCTCTTCCCACACTGCCCTACTCTTCCTTGAGAGATTGTGTATGCAAATATGATCTAATCGTCTCCTGCTTACAGCCCTTTGATGGTTTCCCTTGGCTTTCAGGATCTCTGACTCAGTCTCCGTTATTAGCCCTATCTATTTCCAAATCTCCTCTCCCACCTTCTTTTGGTCACTCAATGATCCAGCCCCACGGAGGTACTTTTAGTATCTCCAGGGGCTGTGCCATAACTATTAACCTCAGGGCCTCTGGCCATGTGATTCCCTCTTCCTGGAACAGACACTTCCATGACTGCCTTGGTTGTTTTATTCGCTCAGCATTTATTCTTTCTGCCTATCTAAGCGCGAGTCACTTCCTCGGAGAAGCTTCCCAAATCTGCCTGGACTTGATGTGCTCTTTGCATGTGGTATGCAGACCTCCATGAAAATAGCCGGGCTTGCTACAAACAAGAAGGCTGCAATGGATGCATTAGGAAGTTCTTCACCTTCTCCATTGTTCTGGTGGTTGTCCCCTACTACAAGGACTTCCTGATCCTATCTCCTGTAGAGAAGACCTCTACATTCCTGCATTTGTGGAAAATTTTGATTTGACCATATATACTCCCTCTCGCTCCCCGCCCTCACCACCAATTTTACTTCAAATCATTTTGAATCACATCCGATTGTCAGGAACATATCGACTTTAGAAATCTTGAGGCCCTTTCTGTACATAAGAAATGAAATCACATTGCAGTGACCCTCGGCATTCTTTCAGAGCACATGCAGACTTAAATTTGCCTCAGCTTTCAGGAATTGAGAGATAGCCCACATGGAAAAATAAGTGAAAAATGAAACTAAGTGAGAGGCTTTGGCAATTCTGCGTGACTATTATTTGAGTTATTTCTTATGGGATATGCATTATCTTAAAAAAAAAAAAAGTGTTTCTTAGTAGCCATGTGACCACACACCAGCCCCCTGCCCAACTCACACACACACACACACACACACACTCTCACACTCTCTTTTAATAGTAATAAGGTTTTCTTCAGATAACCCTCCATTCACCATGTGCCCCTCTAACTCAGTAATTAAACCCCCATCCTCCTTGCCAGTGATTGATTTATGGGGAAAGCATGTGCTATTACTCTGGCCAATGAGCTGTGAGAAGTCCACGGCAGGGCTTCTGGGAAAGGCCTACTTGGTCAAAGAGACTCATGGGAAGTGGTGCCTCCTCCTCCTACAGGATGTTGTCGCATAGGAAATGACGACAGGAACTGCCCCAGAGATCCCAGAGCCCTGAGGGAGCCCAAAATGGGCCAGGCTGACCCTGCGAGTTCAGATGGACAGAAAGACAGAGGAACTCGGGACTTGATGACCTAGAGGGGCTGCTGGACCAGCTGCCTGGAACCTCCCCACTATGAGATGCCCTTCTTGTTGGTAAAGCCATCTGGATCTATGTGGTTTTGTTACTTGCCACCAAAAGGATTATAAATGATACAGGACCTCATCTCAAATGCCACTCCTCAGTATACATTCCTTGAGCCATTTCTAATTTAAACTTGGCACCCTCCTCTGGTTACTCTTTGTCTCCATTACACTATTTTCCTGTATCTAATTTGCTGTGTGTGCTACTGTGCACACTTATATTTACAACATTGATGCATTACTTAGACTCTTCGTATTGCTTATATCATGTCACTTACACTGTATTAATCACACCAGATTGCTCTGTTATATGATGAACTCCTTCACAGTAATTACCACTCTCGGAACCCTCCTGGTTGTTTCTTATCTCTCTTCCCCACCTGAAGGTAATCTGCTTGAGACCATGACCTGTCTCCTCTTCCCTACTATCTCTGCTAATAGGACAGTGCTGGGCACACAGAAGGTGTTCAATAAGTAGATGCTGAGTGTGTGAATGAATATGTCACAGCTGTTTCCTCTGGGACCCAATCATTTCTGTACACCACCACCAGTAGTGTGTGTATACGTAAGAAGGCAAAGAAGGTGACTCACACAAGGCTATCATGGTAATGGCATTAAGAAAAATGAAAGTGATTTTATATATTATGAGAGAAGACACAGACCAGGAGAAGAAACTTAAGAACCAAAGGCAAAAGAAGTCTGGGGTCTAAAATCTGGTAAATATGAGATCTTGGATTCCCAGTGGTGATTTGACCTCTGTACACGATGTCACAGAGTGAGGGTGTGTGTGTGTGTTGGATGGGGGTGAGGTATGGGAGGGGATAGAAAGACACACCAGGGTAAAGATTACAATCAAACAGCCATTCTGATACCTTCTATGCTCTCTTGAGCTGTAAGAGAAAATAGGAGAATCAACTGCTGCAAATTCTGTTATGAGAAGAGTTAAGGAAAACATGAACTTGGAAATGGAAAACAGACATTTTATGCCATTTTAATTTTTAACGTTTGCAAGATGGCCTATAAATATCATTTATGAAAAGTTGTCTTTAGAGCATAATATTTTCACTACCAAACTAACACTTTTGCCAAACATTACTCTTGGGTAATTGAGTGGGGAGAAAAAGATTCTTAGAATGAAAATGGGTTTCCTCTGAGGATCCCATAAGAAACTTCCCTTGCTTTGTTTTCTGTTTAGGAGAGAAGAAAAAATTGAATCTGTCTGTATAGCACCCACTGAGTTTCTCACTGTATTGATCAATCTGTCTGCATGGATGGAAACCTAACCATGCATTAAATTTCAATCCCATCACCCTGCCTTTGACCTAAGAAATGTGCTACTAAGGTAGAAGAGAGAAAAGCTACAGAATCAGATGGTGTGTCTCTTACAAATATACTAAAAAAGCAGACTTTCTAATTTAGGAAAAGGGAAAAAAGTATCTATGTGGCCTAAAAAGTTGATAATTAGTTGGTCATCAGGATCAAATATTTATCACTAATTACAGAGTTTAGCAAAGTCCTAGTGGTAGTGAAGCAGGAGCCTAGGAGAGCCACAGTGACACCATTTTAAAATCACCTCCACCTTGAGTCCAACAGGACGCACTCCTTGCCAGTCAAGACCCATGGTCATAAGATATTTATAGTTGAGGAAACAGCCTGAAGATACCTATGAGGACACACTCCTACAACAATGGAGAATCCAGATGTCCCAATACCCATAAGAATGTATACTTTCAAGATAATTATAGTTATGCTTTGATGTACTCACACACTAAAATGTCAAGGATAGTTTTCTTTAAATCAATAAGATAATAATTTTTGTCAGTCTATCTGATCACCCTCACATAATCAGAACTTAGCTTAGTCTTTACATAGAGAAGATCCCTACATAAGAAAAACTTAAAGACAGGCCATCCCTCTGCTTGCTTTCAGGGGATGCCTTACTCTGTAATTAAGTAGCTTTCAATACTGCACTCTGTGACTCACCTTGAATTCTTTTCTGCACAAGATCCCAGAACCCTTTCTTTGGGTCTGGATCAAGACCTCTTTTTTCAGTAACTCTAGCATTGTGTCATGTGCAGAGGTACTCAAAATTATTCTTTTTTTTTTCCTGAGTTTTTACACTTTCTAGAAATATGATAACAATCATTATTACAATAATAGCTATCATGTATTATATACTTACTATGTACCATGTATTGTTTATTAAACTTTGCATAGAGTTATACCCATTAAATCCTGCAAACACTGTGAATGTTAATTGCTCTGTCTCTGTATTACGGATGGGGAGACCAAGGCCTTGGGGAAGACACTTGTCCAGAGATCAGAGCTGCTCAAGGGCAGAGCAGTGATTTGTACACAGGTCTTCTGTGCCAGAGGGTTTCTCAGCACCCTGTGTTATAACCTTAGAGCAGCCCACTCAAGGAAAAGACATGACCATGCCTGTAGAGGATGAGAGGCTGACCATGAAAGGGCATGACTTAAATGCACACATCGAGGCTTTTGATCAACCTCATTTACGTATAATTGATGTTCCATAAACTGCATCCAGCTAAATCGTACAATTTCATGATTTTGACAATGTCCACCGCAGAAACCACCACACCCTTAGACAGAACATTCCTGTCACCCCCAAAAGATGCCATGCCTGTTTTCAGTACATAGCTCTCTCTAACTCTGGTCCCAGGTAACCTTGATGTGCTTTCTGCCATTAAACACTAGGCATGGATTAGTTAGGGATGAGTTTGACAATCAGTCCTCAAGTCTAGGGAGATGGAACTGGAAGTGGCAGAAACCTGAGTCCTTATCTCAACCCATCCCCTCCGCAGGTGTGAATAAGTCAGTCTCCAATGTCTGGGACTCATATTCCACATCTGTGAACCTGAGGGTACCCATATTTTCCAGCTCTCACATTGTTCTTCCTTTCATTTAGAGGATTTAGAGACCAAGCCCAGAGTCCAATACATTTTGAGATAATTTAAGCTTTCTCTGCCTCAGAGACCTTTTCTATAAACTAAGAATAAATCATTCATTCATTAAATAAGTATTTACTTAATGTCAGCTCAGACCCAAGAAGTGTTCTAGGCCCTGGAAATAGGGCAATGAACAACATAATCCCTGTCCTTATGAAGCTGATGATCTAAAGGTGGAGACAGACAAACTAAACACACATATAGATATGAAATATAATGTCAGGCAGTGAGATGGGTCAGAAAGAAAAAAATAGAGGAAGGAAAGGGAATATACAATGACAGAGGTTGCTGTTGTATTAGCATCCATGGCTCAGCTAACACTTCCCAAGTGTAGGGCTTTTCTCGGGTTCTCAATGGATTCCTTACTTTCTTCTTGAAAAGATGAGGTAATTAAACCCATCATTACCACCATTCACTTGTCTGCCCACTATAATAGTCATAGTTTCTAATATATGTATCTGTGAATTATGTATATGTGAATTAATATTTTATTTAGTTATATATACTATATATTACATATATTTACCATACATGATATATATCATATATGAATTAATATATTTAATTATATATGAATTTATATACATATATCCATATATTCATCTCACATATGTGCATGAATTTGGGCTCAAAGCATACAGTTGAATTTTCAGGAGTTAAATTCTGGGTGCACAGCCCCAGTCCATGTGCACCCCAGGATGACAGTGAACACGACTGCACATGTGACTGTTCGAATACAGCAGCACAGTCTGGGGTAGTGTCCATGGTAAAAGTTGTTTACATATCCTTTAGAGTACTATAAATAATACATGTGCAAAGTCAAATAATTATCACAGAGAGTAAAAGGTGAATAAGTCCATGGACCCTGGGGCTTGAGGAACCTTGAGCCGTTTTTGTATCTTCATACGCTAAGACTGATTCATTAACACTTCTCTGCCCTTTCTGGACTGTAATGCATGTCCTTGGAAGACAAGATTGTTGCCTTATCTGACTTTCTGAAGTCCAGGGTCATGGATGGGGCCTGGAACATTGTAGACATGCAAGAATGGTTCAGAGTAAATGAGATGAAGTAGGTTGTCCAGGATCATACAGCTGGCAACTGGCAGGCCCCGTGAGCCCCTCCCTTCCCTCACCAGCACTGGAAGTCACTCTCAGCCCCTACTTCCAAAAGACCTCCCTAGCCCAGCCTTTTGAGGTGTGATTGTGATGCTTTGCACTTGGCTGTATTTCTTTTTATCAATTCTTATTCACATATGTTGATCTGGCCTCTGTGGTTGGACCATGGCTTGGATGTGCCATTTCTTCATCTCTCCATGGTGGTTTGGCCAGCACTCATCCTATAACTGACGAAACGTCCAGGCCTCCCAGCAAGTGTGGACCTCAGGGGCAGGGTGGGCAGAACGGGGACCACTGCACAGCTTCCCTTCCCATCTCATTCAACACACACCTCCATCATAGAATCTTAACGTCCTGGTGCTGAATGAGACCTCAGAGATCTGATCTGTGCCCACTTTGAAGAGACGTAGCCCCGAAAGGACAAGTCACCATTTTAAAGGGCACAGAGTTTACAGAGCCTGAGGCTAAATCTCCAGGCCCGGCTCAGGGCCAGTGATGTTCTGTGGTGGGATCTGGGCAGGACTCTGGGGACACAGAGGGAATCAGAGAGCTTATGCCCTGGAGGAGGCCCAACTGAGTGAAGGACACAGAATTGTGCAAAATGCTGTAAAATACAGTGATTGGTAGGAGAGTACAGTTTTCACAGTGCTTACAAGATATCAGGCCTCAGTGGCTGTGTTCTGTCCACCTGAACTACAAGAAGAGTCTGCTGCTCACCTTAATCTGAGTTTCCCAGGACATCTCCTTTCTAACAGGACACAATTAGATTGCACAAGTACAGAGCACAATCTCTCAAATCTGCTTGCTGGGCCTCCTATATGAAGAAAACAAAAATTCTGATTATTTTTCCCTTTGAGAAGAAGCCTTGTCCAAATCACATGAAACAAGGTTTGATTCCACCTTTATAAACAAGTGCTATGAAAATTTTTCTCCCTATCAATTGTACACCTGCAACTTAGGCCCAAGATTATTACACAGTACAGCATCTATTAGATGCTTATTTATGAGCTGTTTTCATTTTAGCACTTTATCTCATGACGTTGGGAGATTTAAAAAGTGCCACCAACACTTGTTAGATTAGGAAAAGATCCAGGCATTTCATACGCATCAAAAGGTGCCGCAGAAGGGATTGGGGGTTGTTTATCTGGTAAAAGCCCAGCATATGGTGCAGCCCAGCTCCCTGCTCCAGCTCTAGCTGCACTCTCTGAACCTGCCGTTAATTAGGTGCCATTGGTACAGGTGCTGGAGTCACAAGTTTAGCTGCTCAGGATTTGCACATAAATTAGTCAAAGAAAAGATAAACACTTTGGCAGGATAAGCATATTCTCAGGGTAGAAAGCAGGGTGTGTGTTTTCCAAACTTGTTTTAAAACTACTTATGAAAATTTATTTTAGAAAAGAAACTTTTATAAAAAGAATGCTGTGAATTGTGAAATCAAAGTGTAAAAATCAGCAGCTGAGTTTTTGTCTTTGAGACGAGAAAAGGGGAAAAGCAAATACAAAGACTTCCCTATCACTTGCTCCAGAATCATAACAGAAAAGAGTTCTCTTTGTTTTCCTCCAGTATATCAGACTTCCTCATACATACCTTTGCCTCATTGACATCATGTTTCAATCCTTATTAAAAACTTCTGCTGGCTGTGAGAAGGTCTACTAGAAATAGGAAATAAGTTCATCTCACTGGCCAAGGCAAGTCAATTTATAGTTGTGGCTCAAAGGAGCTCTGCTTGGGAGAGAATCTAGGGTTTAGCAGGAAGGAGTGCTGGTATTGATTAGTGATGTCTGCCATGGGCACATGCTAGGATTGAGAGCCACGTATGTCTTATCTCTGCTGCTCTGACTCATTAACAAGTCCCAATTCCACAAAGCAGTTCTTCTTTATGGTAAAGAGAATTGATGTTCCCTGCCCACCATCAAAGCTGCATGGCAGGAGTTTAAAGTGTGAACCAAGCCCCAAAACATCAATGAGAGTCACCTTCTCTCCTAATATACACAAAACAAATATGGCTCTGAGAAACACAAGACTCTAGGGCCTTGAGGAAAGAGCAGATGAAAGGCTTCCAGGGGAGGAGGGAAGGAAGCACATGGCCATGTTTACTGGGCAGGTGGAGCTGGGAGGCATGCAGGTTTACACTGGCTCATTCCAAGGTTTCCCTGAATTATGCAGAAACAATTCCAGATTGTTAGTTCTTAATTAGAGATGCCAAAGACAGAAATTAACAAACAATCTAATTAATATTGGAATCATAGTGAAGCTGACAGGAACAAAAGGTTGAGAATGCAGCAATATTTTTTCCTGGCCAACAGGAAAAACATGGCACATATCTAATTAGAATGGAACAATAAAATTCCAAATTACCAGCATAAAGGACAAAATTAAGCAATAACATCCAAACTGCCTGACAACTTATTCTTAGCTGTCTGGCTCCTAGTGATGAGCAAAGGAAAGAAATCTATGCACAGAAATAGAATGACAGTGTTTTTTTGTAGGAATTTTTGCCAATCATTGCTAAAGGAAAAAGAAGAAATAGCCTGAAACTTCTTTCGAGTTTTTCTATATGTTCTTCCAAATAAAATTCAAATCAGTCAGAGGGTTTCTTTGGAAGCCCATAGAAGACAAGGACCTTTTCCAGATAAGCCAGTGCAAAGAGTCTGTTCTGAACCCATTTCTTTCTCTTCATCAATACCTGTGGATTCCTCAGAAACACTCTCAATTCCACCCTTGCCTGTGGCTGAGCCTCTAGCTTCTATTTTGTTTACCTGATCCTACAGTGCACAACTTTTGGGGTAGATCAGACTGACAGTCCCCAGGCAGAATGTATTCATAGGCCCTTTCCAACTAAAAAGGTAACCAGTTCTCTATACATTGCCAAACACACAATGTTATTCAATTGAATGAGATTTTCAAGTCAAAAATCTTGCATAAAATCTACATTTCCAGAAACATCTGTTTTTAAATGAGATAGCAGTAAGAAGGAACTTTTTGTCCATTTTTAGGTACTGTGAATTTGGACATGTAATAGACTAATGTTTATTATTCAAAATATACTGAGTACACACACTTAAAATCCTTTCTGTGCTTCAGTTTCCTGAGCTGAAAAATGGGATAATACATCTACTTCATGGAAGGCTGTACAGATTGAATGTTGTAATGTATTTTTACAAAGTAGAACAAGTTCTGGCACAGTACCACTGGGTGTTGTAATGACGGTGTTGTCCTTGTTGCTATTACTGTATTTGAATAGACCATGGGGATAGAAATATTTACAAGGCATGGCACCTACCTCCAAGGGGCACATGCATCAACATGCACAAAGACATACAAAGTGCTGAGTCCCTAATGTGTCTGTACAGGACAATGGAAACACAGAGGTGAGATTCCTTGGCAGGGAGAGCAACAGGAAGGTGGCTGCACAGAACAGGGAGCACTTTAGCCAAGTCTCAGGGTGACTGGGAGGTATCCAGGTGAAGGAGTGGGAACAGGATTCCCAGTGCAGGGAATAGCATGAGCATGGGAAAACCATGAACAAAACCTCATCTTATTTTGAGACCTAAGTAGGTCCTAGTGTTTTGACAGTACAGGGAGCATCTCATGGAAGATGAAAATTTTCCTGTAGAATCAATCCTCACTCCTTGACCATGTGCTTCAAGTTAAGCCAATCCCACCTCCAGCTGCAGAGGTGGGTACATGACCCAGGCATGGCCAATCCACCTATTTTATTATATGGCCACAGTTCTACCAGATCAAAAATGGTCATGGGCATGAGACCCAGTGTTCTTTAAACCTGGAAATATTGTTGGAAGCACTAGAGAACAGAATCTTCCTTTTTGTGAACCTGAATGTGAAATGATGTAAACCTCTTAGCTGCTGCGGGTGACTATATAGAAATAATCCATCTGAGAATAAAGACAACATATGGGGATATCAGAAATAAGAGATGGAGAGTAACCAAATCCTAAGGAGCCTTTGGATCCAACTTAAAGTCATTATTACCTCTTCTAGTTACTTGCCCACTACACTTTCCTTCAGTGGCTCAAGCAAGTTATATTTGGATTTCTGTTATTTGCAAACAGGCAAACAGAATGCCCACAAATAGCTAGTGAGGGAATTCAGGTTATCCCTGCCAGATCTCACTACCTATCACACCTGTCCTACTCTGTTCCACCTGAATAATGATTCCTTTAGCTCAATGACCGCAGTTCAAATGTGCCTCTCTAAAGGACTAATTCAAAAAAAATATATTTCCTTCCATATTTTAATCTGAAAATTTAAAAACTTGAGGAAACCTCATCACAGAGCCCTTTTGTAGCTGCTGAAAATTAGCTCCGGAAATGCAGCTGCTCTATCAAAACTGCTGATCTTCACCAGAGGTGACATTGGGTTCTATTTAGTAACCAGCTTTCCACACACTGCCAAACAAGCAGCAGGAGAACCTTAGATTTCCTTGAGAGCTCATCCATCAGAAGATATTCTGCCTTAACCACTGGAAGGCTAAGTTTGAAAACAAGATGTCTCCCTGGGGATAGGAAGGCTTTTGCACACTAATGTCCTTTTACTAGCCCTCTAGAATCTCCTCATTGCTAGTCCAGCTGACGCTGGAAGCTGAGAAACTGAATTACTGCAGGGTAAAAAGGAGGGCACCATCTTTGAGACCAGCATGATTCTATGTTTTTTTTTCTTTCCAAGAATAAAGATGCTCATCTCCTGTTGATGATGCATGATGGACTTCTGGGGTTCTGGGAACCATCATTCATTGACAAAAATACAATTACTAATCCAATAAAAACAGGAGCCCACATATTAGAAAGATAGATCCCCAAAGATTACAAGAGAATCTTACTCTAAAAACCACATTTTCTGTCCTTCCTGTGAAGATGTACAAAGAAACTTGAGAAAGCTAGGAAAACATGTCTTCCTGCTATTTTTTTAACAAAGTATTTTACAAATACTTTGGAACAAGTCCACTACCAACTGATTCCTCTGATGGGGACCATAGGGATGGCATTTTGATACTAGCTCATAAGAACCTCCCCTAAGTATGTCCTGCACAACTACAAGGAATAACAGCTCAATAATTCTCCATGGTTAAGATTACAGGCTCTGGAGCCAGTCTTTTCAGATTGAATATATGATTGCTACACTCACTAGCTGAGTGGCCTTAGATGACTTTAATTAAACCATCTACACCTCCATCTACATCTCCTTATCTATGGACTGTGAAAGGTGGTATTTTCTACCTCAAAGGACTGTTATGAGAATTAAATGGATCAACACTTGTAGCAGCTGGCACATAATAAGTGTTAGCTATCAATATTCACTGTTCAATCAGTGTTAGCTATCAATATTCATTAGAGTGTAAGCTCCCAACGGCAGAAACCATATCCATTCCATCTTTGTGACTCGCACAACATTTTATACACTTTCCTATACATTATATATGTTCAATCAGTATATCTAGATTAAAATCACTCAGTAAGATCAAGGGAAGACTTGGTTCACAGGATCTTAGAACTCAGGTCCAAGTCTCCACCCATTGCCAAATCTGTTTGACACATAAGCCCTTCTGCCTCTTTTTGAAGATTTTCAGTGATGTTAAGTCCGCTCGGGATTGTCCAACAAAGATTGGACAGCCACTCTTAGGGTTTATTTCACCTCTGGATTCATTCATTCCTATGTTCAAAGTACTGATTGAGCACCATATATATATCAGGCACTGTGCAAGCACAGAGGACACGTGATTAGTAAAGGGACATAGCCCAGACTCCGTGGGTCCTACAGTCAAGTAGAGGTTAGAAGATAGAGGTGAAGATACGAATATGGATGTAACATAGATGTATATGTAGTATTTACTGATGTAGTGGAGGTCAAGCACTGTGTGACCCTTTTACAAACATCATTTCATTCTCTCCCAAATTTCACTGGTATTGCATCATACGACATTTAAACTAGTTAATTATAATTTATTTATCAGTGCTCAGCCTCTCTGTAGATTTCCACCTGACAACAGTTTATTATCAGAAGACATGAAAGAGAGAAGAATAAAATAGAGAGGGAAAAATTTAACTTAACTTCATTGTCTTCCTCCAAATCTTTCTTATCTATGACTCCATTCAATACTGCCTGTAAAACCAGTGTATGGTGAGGACCATATACTGCCCCATAAAATTTGCACATGGGTCAAATACAAGAAGAAATTAAAGCAAAGACAAAAACCAATTGGCCTGGGAACCTCTAAAAGCCTAGATGTTCTCCAAAACACTTTCAAAGATTTCTTGGATGAGTGTCAGTTCTGCTTCATGGACTGTCATTAGAACAGATCTCTAGAAAGGGTAGCTCCGCGCCTCAGCATTGTCATTCCCATTTTACAAATGAGGAAACTGGGCTTGGGGAAATTTAAGTAATTTTTCCCAAGATCAAATACATAGAAGATAGAACCAGGATTCGGACCAACATTATCTGTCTGAAAGCTTAACCAAAGAATTCAGTGGCTCTGCATTCTTTTTCCTTAAAGTAAGCTAAAAGTGGTTCCTTTTTAACTTCCCCTGTTGAAATATAAAAAGCACAAACCTACTCCATCTTCCACATGATGGCCCTTGAAAGACTTAAAAAGAGCTGTCAGTTCTCACTCTGTATGTTACCCCCAGGCTTTTTCTTCTCGGCATCAGGCTATACACTCTCACTTCCTTCAGGCAATTCTACTGTGATTTGATTTCAAAAGCCTTCAGCCCATGGACACTCTTCAGCAGAACACAATCTGACTTCCCATTGTTCTGTTTATGACCTAGAAAGAATTCTCTGTTGGAGTGACAGAGTGAGGGCTATCATCTGTTGCTCATTTTTGATGGAGACCAGTGTAAAAGAAATATCTCACATCACTCTGAAATCTACTGTCAGAAAGCCAGTAGCACAAATGTGACAAGAAATGACAAGAGCCCCTCACCCTCAGTGTGGAAGGCGAGAGGGAGTGGTGGAGATTACAGTGAGTTGGAGTGGTGGGGAGTGGAGAGCCTCTGTAGACAACTGGTCCACTCCAGATGATGATGACCGGCAGGAGTATGGGCGCAGGACAACCTGACCACATGGTGTTTCAAGAGGAGCTCGGAATCCAGATGTGAAATTAACAATGTTTGCATGCTGGAAATGGATTCAAATTTTAAAAAGTCAAACACACACACACAACCCTTCTGGACCAGATTTGGCATGAAGTACAGCAGCGTTGCCTGTGCTGGGACCATGCTCTGACTAATGCTGACGAAGATCACATCAGCCTCATGGCGACCTCTTCATTTGATTCATTGGCTCTTACTATTTATAAAGATGCCAAGATTTTTTCACACAGATGTTGCTGTTATGCTGCATATTTTGAAATTAATGAAAACTTTCTTAAACTAAGAGTAGAACTTTTTATCCTTCTTCCACCTGCCAGACTAGGTTGAGGTTCCAGTCTCTGAAAATTATTTTATTCTCCCAGATTCTGGACTCTTTAACAATTGTGTCCTCTGTCTTCTCCAAAGTCATACCAATCCTGAGATCAAAACTGCAAGCCAAGGCCCAGCGCGGTGGCTCACACCTATAATCCCAGCACTTTGGGAGTCCGAGGTGGGCAGATCACTAGTTCAAGAGATGGAGATGTTAATGCTGAAGACCTGAAATCAACAGAAAGGAATGTCTGGGTTACTATGATAAGGAGTAGAGAGTCCAAAGATTTATCATACAGATGAAGCCTGCAGGTAGCAAGCTTCAGAAAGAATATGGCCAACATGGTGAAACCCCGTCTCTATTAAAAATACACGTGGTGGCATGTGGCCGTGGTCCCAGCTACTCAGGAGGCTGAGGCAGGAGAAACACTTGAACCCAGGAGGCAGAGGTTGCAGTGAGCCCAGATCGCACCACTGCACTCCAGCTTGGCAACAGAGCAAGACTCTGTCTCAAAAAAAAAAAAAAAAAAAAAAGTGCAAGCCAAAAATAAAATCCTAAGGCCCTGAAATCATCTGAATGGACCCCTCTCCTCAGCCAAGGGCATCCCAAAGTTGGTTCAGGCCATAGGGAAGCAGGTCAGACATGCCTTGTGATACCCTCCTCCCTTTTGGAATTCAGGAAAAGCTGACCAGCATTAACATCAACACAAACCTTAAGTCTGATAAGAAACATTTATAATCTATTATTTTCGAAGCTTGATACCTGCAGGCTTCATCTTCATGACAAATCTTTGACTCCTCTATTCCTTATCATAGTAACCAGACATTCCTTTCTGTTGATTTCAGGTTGCCATTGCTTTTGGTGTTTTAGATATGAAGTCTTTGCCCATGCCTATGTCCTGAATGGTATTGCCTAGGTTTTCTTTTTTTATGGTTTTAGGTCTTTAGGATGGCCAGGGCAGGCGAGGGAGGGCAGGGTGGGACCAGACGGATGAACATGGCTGGGCGCGGTGGTTCACGCCTGTAATCCCAGCACTTTGGGAGGCCGAGGCGGGCAGATCATGAGATCAGGAGTTCGAGACCAGCCTGGCCAACAGACCAGCCTGGGCAATATGGTGAAACCCCGTCTCTACTCTTTCAAACAATTGCCAATTAGAACATTTTAAATCTACCTATAACTTGGCCCCCCTCCCTTGACTTCGAGTTGCCATTGCCCTGCCTTTCCAGATCTAACCAATGTACATCTTCTAGGTATTGATTGATGTATTATGCCTCCCTAAAAAGCATAAAAGCAAGCCGTACCTCGCCAACCTTAGGCACTGGGAGCATCCCTAACTTTGGCAAAATAAACTTTCTAAATTGATTGAGATCTGTCTCAGATACTTTTGAGTTCACAAATGCTGATATTCTCTTCATATCACCACAGTTTTCATTTTTCCAAATTCACACTTTCTCCCTTCCCTATATCCCAATCCACAGAATTTCCTCAGTCCACACTTTTCTTGCAGAAGCTCCATAAGATCCTTGCTATCTGTGGAGTATCCTCCTTGGGGATTGCTCGGCATTTCCTGAACTGACATGAGTGAAAATTCCACAGACTGGGGAGTGCTCCAAAAGGTGCTACTGAGGGTTCACACTGTCCTCAATGACCTGGCATATCACAAAGTCAACGCTAAGGAAAGCACATCTTTGAGGATGAGTCCATTCCTCGAGGAGTCCTGGCAACATGCATCATTAATATGGGCAGTACACCTTGGAAAACTACAATACATCTGATTTATTAAGTCCCCTCAATTTATACAGGCCAGGAGTTGAACAGAACCTGGACCTAGAATGGTGATGAAGCAGCCTCCATGTTTGGTGATTTGCAAACTCAGTATGTTCTCCTGGAGATCAAGCTTCAGTTTTCTGTCAAGAAATTCCCATATTCAGGTAGCTACAACAGTGACCATGCAGCACATAACTCCTGTTTTCCAAAGTGACGTATCTGTCAGGTTGGGGAGAGGGTATTCAGTATGTTTCTGTAGAATGGAGACAATTAAGTACAGTGCATAATGGAATCCAACTCTCCAAGAGCTTGGATTTGCCTCTCTTAGGGTGGAATCTCGAGGGCAAGAGATTGAGGTCTCTACCTTGTGGGGCTCCACACCAGGCTCTCTGGAGAGGACCTGCAGAGGCAAGTCATTTGTTTGGTCCATAGTAGCATCAGCCTGCAGATACAGTCTTTCTCTAAACACCACAATTCTTGGCTCCTTTGGTAATAATGAATGCTATGGCAACGCTAAATAATGAATATCGTCAGAGGCAACCGAGGAAAATGAGTCATCAATTTTATTTTGTTCCTGAGCAGATGATTGCCTGTGACTTGGCTCAGACCGTTTTAAACTCCAAATATTTAAGGCCCTTGATTTGTTTAATTAAACCTGCCAGGAGCCTCAGCACAGGGCTGCATAAAGTTGTTAAGCTATTTCGCCTTCTATCTCAGGAAAAATTAACTTCCCAAGCCCAGGAAACAGACTGTATAAAATTTCTGTTTCCTCAGGATTATTATCATTATTATTTTAAAAATTATACTTCACAGAAACAGCATTGTTTCTTTATGGAAACCATATCTGGCTTAAGGCACAGCCTCCCTGGAAGCCTTCACCAAGCTGTGATCTAAAACATGAACAAATCAACTGCTCTCAGATCTGCTCTACCATGGGAGAATACCCTAAAGGCTTTTCTGCCTACCATGAAGTTCTTAAGACTGAAACCAAGTTTCACTGAACCTCTAAACAGGAGCCAGTGGAATGGCATGAAGGACTTAGCTTAGCATTATTGTATTTATCTAAAATGAATGAATAGATTGAACCTGGAGGTTCTCTTAGCAACTTAAAGGAGAAAAGATGATTCTAAAATTTTAAATCCTTTCTCCATGAGGTCTTTGTTAGAAAAAAAAGAAAATAGGTGGGAACACTAAATTGGGTTGTTCAGACACCTGCAAAGAACAAGAAAACAAAAATGGGATGATTTCTGGCTGAATTTAGGACCATAAATCCAGCTAATTGGAATAATAATAAAAAAAAGCAGCAGAAATGTACCATGGCTCAATTTCCTCAATTTTGATTAACCTAATATAAGGATTAACCAGTGGATAATATTATATTAGGTTAGTTGTCACATGGATGAATGTTTTTTAATAGTCATTGAGTTTCATGCATATAGGGAGTGAGGGAAGGAAGGAACATAGAAGGGAGGGAGGGAATTCTTTTTGCTGGAGATTAAAGGTCAGGGATTCCCCTTTCAAGGGAGAGGGAAGCAGCATCGCCTGCTGCAGCCGCCTGCTGATTCCAGGGAGTCTCTGCGGTCAGCTGTTTCCTCCTTCATGAGGTCATTCTGGTTTCCAGCCCTTTAGAGCATGGGATGCTCAGTCAGAACCACACCTTGGAGACAAAAGAAGGAACGACAAAAAGCTCTGAACACTTAGGACTTCTGTAGATAAATCTCCCCTTACCTTAATGACATCTTCATTGGCAGACTTGCATTCCACAGACTCAGACACATAGACCACAGAACCATCCTCCTGGACCCTCACGACTTTGACAGGAACTGAAACAGGCTTTCCAGTGAGAATGGCAGTGTTCAAAACCTCAGTGTCCTAAACAGGAGAGGAGAGGGCTCAGATCAGCAAATGCGCACACCACCGGGGCAAGAGGGAGAGGGGTGTCCACCAAGCTCCCTACTGCCTTCATTCTCATTCTGTAATTTAGACAGTTGTCCAGAGGGATGAAGCCACGAAGCACACACAAAATGGAAGTTTCCAAACAATTGGATGGCATTCCATCCCAGACTGAGATATCAAACCTGATGGTTGGTTGGAATGTCTTCTCAGTACCCAGGTGCAGGGTCATTCTCCCTCTCCCTGACCTCCTCTCCCTTACTCCACCCCCCGCCGCCCTCTGTCTCACAGACTCACACATAGCACACGAGTTCCTTTCAGTATTTTCAAATCTTGGCTCAAGGATCATTTGGGAAGTGACTACCTATTTTCTGGACTTATTAACATAGTGAACATAGACTTCATTGTGTTTTTAAATTAGGAAAGACAACAGCAGAAACAACAAAAGAGCACTAGTCGAACATTACAAATCTCTGCACACCCAAGCTGACTGCCACACCCCATCTCCTTGACACCTCCAGAACCCCCAGAGATCTCCCTCCAAACCCAGGTACTTCTACATACAAAGTGGTTAGTTTATTTCTTCCTCTGATGATCTCTTCGGGGTTCTGTAGTTTTTATCATGATAATTTATCTCAAATCTGTCTACATCCTTCATCCACTCTACCAACTCCCACATTAAGCCATAATCTCTCACGTGGACAACTGATTTCTCTGTGTCTCCTTACAACCAAGATGTTCTTTTAAATATTTACATATATACATACATACATACATATATATACACACACATATATATACATATATATATATAATTCAGATTATTTATTTTAGCTGAAAACAAGTTAAAAGCATTCAGCTTCTCATAAGGTAAAATCCAAACCTGCTGACATGGAGTGATGCATCCTCAGCCCCCCTCTCTAGCTCTGTCTTGCTCCCTTCTCTCTGTCCATCACTGCAGTCTTCTTAGTTCTTCCAACAGCACAATCTAAATTCTGTCTTCTGAGCCTTCAAATGCAGAGCCCTCCACCTAAACACACCTGGCTGTGCTTTCATCCTTCAGATCTCTGCATGTATGTCCACTGCTCAGGAAAAGGACGTGTCTGTCTGCTCTTGGTGTGAGTTAAGACACTCTTATTACTAGGTTTCAAGGTATTTCCCTGCATGGTTGTTACCAAAATTATAATTATATAATAACTTTTATGTTTATGATATTTACCATTTAGACACAATAGACTCTACACTCCACAAGGGCATGAGACATCTCTGTGCTGAAAACCCAGGATGATATCTGGTGTGTGAAAAGCAGAGCAGTAGACAGGGCACATGTATGGGCTCTGGGAATGAGAACGCCTGGTTTTGAAATCAGCCTGCCCTCTGTTTCAGTGAAGATTGTGTGTATGTGTGTTGGGGGTTGGGGGATGAACATAAGAGATTACATTTTGGCCTGTGTTCTCTGCATTCTTGTGCCCTTTGCTTCTCCTGATTCTGGTGACCCTGTTGATTTACATGTCCAAGCCCTGACAGTAAATCACAATTATAAAAGCGTTTTCTCTAACTCCTTCTTTGTGCTTTACAATGACCACTTCAGCAAAGCTCTGCTTAACTACAACTGTTATTTTGTTACCTTAAATAAGTTTACTTATATGGCTAAATTAAAATTTAATAAAGCTTCAAGTTGCCACAGAACCAGCAAGCAAATGACAGCTGTTCAATAAATTTAAAACCTAAACCTGATTAGATGGCCACATTGAGAGAAATACTCCAGAGGAAAAGCATAGAACTATTGAAACTCAAGTCCACGTTAATGCCTTATTTAAACATGAATAAACTCTTTTGTGGGGTTTTGCTGTGAATTGGCTGGTGCCTTGGTGACTGCAGTGAGCAGTGAGAGTCTTAGCTGTAGGCTCCGGCTGCCTCCCAGTCCTTTGGTCAGGCCCCATGGATGGACAGATGAATGGATGGATGGATAGATGGAGACGGAGAGAGGCAGAGCAGAGCAAGATGGAAGGAAAACCAAAGCAGAAAAACAGATGAAGAAGGAGGAAGGTATCGGGGAACCCACCCCCAATATTTCAACGTAGGTTCTTTCTATTTTCCATAAGTGTCAGCCAGCTGAGAAATAAAGAGAAAGAGTACAAAGAGAGGAATTTTGCAGCTGGGCCACCGGGGGTGACATTGCATATCGGTAGGACCATGATGCCCATCCGAGCCTCAAAACCAGCAGGTTTTTATTAAGGATTTCAAAAGGGGAGAGGGTGTACAAACAGAGAGTATGTCACAAAGATCACATGCGTCAAAGGGCAAAAAGCAGAACAAAGATCAAGATCACATGCTTCTGAGGAAATAGGACAAAGGGCAAAGGCAGACTCCTGATAAGGGTCTATGTTCAGTGGTGCACATATTGTCTTGATAAACATCTTAACAAAAAACAGGGTTCGAGAGCAGAGAACCGGTCTGACCAAAAATTTACCAGGATGGAGTTTCCCAATCCTAATAAGGCTGAGGGTACTACAGGAGACCAGGGCGTATCTCAGTCCTTATCTCAACCGCATAAGACAGACACACCCAGAGCGGCCGTTTATAGACCTCCCTCCAGGAGTGCATTCCTTTCCCAGAGTATTAATATTAATTTTCCTTGCTAGGAAAAGAATTTAGCAATATCTTCCCTACTTGCACGTCCATTTATAGGCTCTCTGCAAGAAGAAAAATATGGCTCTTTTTGCCTGACCCCACAGGCAGTCAGACCTTATGGTTGCCTTCCCTTGTTCTCTAAAAATCGCTGTTATTCTGTTCTTTTTCAAGGTGCACTGATTTCATATTGTTCAAACACACATGTTTTACAATCAATTTGTACAGTTAACACAATTATAGTGGTCCTGAGGTGACATACATCTTCAGCTTATGCAGATAACAGGATTAAGAAATTAAAGTAGGACAGGCGTAAGAAATTATAAGAGTATTATTTGGGAAGTGGTAAATGTCCATGGAATCTTCACAATTTATGTTCCTCTGCTGCGGCTCCAGCCAGTCCCTCCATTCGGGGTCCCTGACTTCCCACAATAGGGAAGGAGAAGGGGTGAGAGAGAGAAAGCAGATATCCGTATAAAGAGACCATATAAGCTTAAATGATTCAGAAATGGACAATCAGAGAGAGAGAGAGAGAGAAAGAGAGAGAGAGAACAGCTGGGAAATAAACTGAGGAAAAGCATAAGGATAGAGACACTTAGTGAGAAGGAAATGGAGAAAGTCAGAGAGCTACGCAGGCAGCGACAGGGAGGCAGCCAGGCTGAAAATGGCAGGTGGAAAATCAGAGGTAGCAAGCAAACAAGAACAAAGAAATGGAGAGAAAGGTCTTGACATCTCACAAGTCAGAGACCTCGGTGCTCTGAAAAAATTGAATAGCCTTTGGCTTCATGAAAGGAATGCAGGTGCAGTCAAAGCCTATTGATGGGTGTGTTCTGTGATTGTTCAGCTGAAGCTGAGGTAGCTCCGGCCCATTACTGAGGCTCCTCTTCATAATGACAGGACACTGGGAAGAGCAACCCCCCAAACGAGGAGCACCTCAGGGATTTGCTACAATGTCATATCCACCGAGATTTTCTGTTGGCCACAGACTCAGGGGGCTAATCTGTCTCATAAACATAGATGCAAAAGTCCTCAACAAAATGTTAACCAAATCCACAAAGTATAAAAAGAATTATACATCACAGCCAAGGGGAATTAATCCTAGGTATGCTTGTCTGGTTCAACATTAAAAAATCAATTAATGTAATACATTACAATAGGTTAAAAAAGAAAAAATATCACATGCTTATAGCAACAGATGCAGAAAAGGCATATGAAAAAATTCAACACTCGTTCATAATTTGCATACAAACACAAAAATACTGTTGGTATACTAGGAATAGAGGGGGATTTCCTCAACTCAATAAAGAATATATACATAAAACCTATAGCTAACATTATACTTAATAGTGAGAAACCAGAAGCTTTCCCCCTAAGATCAGGAACAAGGCAAGGATGCACACCCTCACCACTGCTTTTCAGTTTCATACTGGAATTTCTAGCTAGCACAGTACGAAAAGAAAATGAAATAAAGGAAATCAGATTGGGAAGGAAGAAGTTAAACTTTGTTTACAGATGACACAATTATCTATGTAGAAAATCTGAAAGAATCAACCAAAAGTGAACAAAAAAGAATACTGGAACTAATAGGCAATTATAATAACGTTGCAGGATATAAGGTTAATATACAAGTTTCAGTAAGTTTCCTACAAACCAGCAGTGAACAGGTGGAATGTGAAATTAAAAACATAATACTATTTGCATTAGCACCCCAAAAAATGTAATACTTGGGTACAAATCTAACAAGATATGTATGAGATCTTTATGAGGAAAACTGCAAAATTTTGATGAAAAAAAGAACTACATCAATGGAGAGATATTTCATGTTCATGTACAGAAAGATTCAGTATTGTCAGGATGTCAGTTCTTCTCAACTTGATTTGTAGATTTAATGTAATCCCAATCAAAATGCCAGCAAGTTATTTTGAGGATATCCACAAATTGATGCTAAAGTTTACATGGAGAGGCAAAAGACCCAAAATAGTTAACACAATATTGAAGGAAAAGAATAAAGTTGGAGAACTGACAATACTTGACCTCAAGGGTTAATATAAAGCTACAGTAATCAAGATAGTGTGGTATTGGCAAAATAATAGACAAATAGATCAATAGAACAGATCAGATACCCAATAAATGGATACACATCAATATAGTCAACTGATCTATGACAAACAAGCAAAGGAAATACCATTAAAAATGATAGTCTTTTCAATAAAAGTTGCTCGAACAACTGAGCATCCACATGCAAAAAATGAATCCAGACACAGACTTTACACCCTTTTTAAAATTAACTCAAGATGAATCACAGACCTAAATATAAAATCCAAACGTATAAAGTTCCTAGAAGGTAACACAGAAGAAAATCAACATAATGTTGGGTTTGCCTATGACTTTTTATATATAACACCAAAGGAATGATCCAAGAAAGAAAAAGTTAATAAAATAGACTTTATTAAATTTTTTTTAAAAATCTGTTCTGTGAAAGACACTGTTACGGGAATAAAATAATAAGCCACAGACTGGGAGAGAATATTTGCAAAATGCCTGTATGAAAAAATATTATTGCACAAATTATACAAAGAACTATTAAAACTCAAGGATAAGAAAACAACCCAATTAGAAAATGGGCCCAATATCTTAAAAGACACCTCACCAGAGAGGATATACTTATGTCAAATAAGCACATGAAAAGATTTTCCACATCACATGTCATCAGGGAAATGAAAGCAAAAGCAACAATTAGATACCACTTCACACCTATTAGAATAGCAAAAATCCAAAACACTGGCAACACCAAATACTGGTGAGGATGTGGGGCAATAGGAACTCTCATTTATTGCTAGTGGGAATGAAAATGGTACAGCCACTTTGGAAGAGAGTTTTGTGGTTTCTTACAAAGCTAAACATTTTCTTATCATATAACCCAGCAGTTGTGCCTCTTGGCATTTACCCAAAGGAGTTGAAAATGTACGTCACAGAAAAACCTACAGGGATGTTTATGGCAGCTTAATTCATAATTGCCCAAACTTGGAAGCAATCAAGGTGTCCTTTGGTAGGTGAAGGGACAAATAAACTGGTATATCCGGACAATGATAATGAGCACTAAAAGGAAATGAACTGTGAAGCCATGTCTCCAAGTATGGACGAAACGATGCATATTACTAAGTGAAAGAAGCTAGCCTGGAAAAGCTACATAACATACAGTTCCAAATATATGATGTTCTGGAAAAGGCAAAACTATGGAGACAGTAAAGAGATCAGTGGTTGCCAGGGGTTTCAAAAAGGAAGGGATGAAGAGGATGAGCATAGAGGATTTTTAGGGCAATGAAAATTAATACAACTCTCATTTCCTTTCCTGAATCATAGTACTTATTAGCCTATAAATCTTAGGAGGACTCAGAGCTTTTGCATTAGTCCATTTCACGCTGCTGATAAAGACATATCAGAGACTGGGTAATTTACAAAAGAAAGAAGTTTAATTGGACTCACAGGTTCACGCAGCTGGGGAGGCCTCACAATCATGGCAGAAGGCAAGGAGAAGCAAGTCACATTTTACATGGATGGCAAGAGGCAAAAAGAGCTTGTGCAGAGGAACTCCTCTTTTTAGAACCATCAGATCTCATGAGACTTACTCACTATCAGGAGAACAGCACAGGAAAGACTTGCCGCCATGAGACAATTGCCTCCCACTGGGTCCCTGCCATAACACGTGGGGATTCAAGTTGAGATATGGGTGGCGACACAGCCAAACCATATCAGCTTTCATTTGTGCCTTTGAAAAGTTAGTCCAGAAAATAATATTAGCCCGTTTTCATGGGAAATGAGAGTGTTAACTTTGCTGTTCCAACAAGTACTTCTCTCCAATCCAATGCTGTCAAAGGCACTTCTCTGGGATGTGCCATTGGCTAAAAAGTAGGGTGGAAAGGGATTGATGGTCCGAGACAGCAATTTATAACACCCTGCCAGGCCATCCACGATGTTGGGATGGATGGTGACTCTGCCAGCTGCTGGGACAGAATGAAAATGAGAATATTTATGCCGACATGGGAGCAGGAACCCAAATGCAGCTAAGTGATTTCTTCTCAGGTAACTTCCTGTGCAAGGGGGCACCCATTGAGCAGTGTGGACTTTTGATTTGAGCTAATACTATTACCAGTAGGGGGAAAAACCCATCCTCTTACTTGATACTTGAATTTAAGGAGTTGCTTTCGATATCAGGAGGCAGAAGAAGCATGACTGAAGGTTAGAGAGTTACTGTACTCAGTGATTTAGACGGTAACGTTCAGGGTTCTTTCTCACTGATGTCCAGAGCTGATGTAATTTCAACATTTATTTGTTTTGATAAATTTTTGAAATTATTTTTGAATGGTCAGAATCCCAAACAGAGAGAGGAAAGAGTGACTTATTAAAAATTTCAAGGAAGATGAACACTGGCTATGCTCAGACACCTAAGGTCAGATAAACACTGGCCCTAAATCTGCTCTCTCTTCTGTCCAGGGAACTTGACCCCTGACCCGGCTCTGACTACTTCCAGGTGGAGCTGACCCCATCCCCAGCTCCTGAGATGCAGTTGGAGACCCAAGCCAGCAGCCAATCAGCACCTGGCATTCCTTGGGCCCCAGTGATTGGTTCATGGTCTGGCACATGACCACAGCTGGACCAATCAGATGGGGCTTCCTGTAGCTGGGAAAGCACAGCGTCCCTGACCCCAGGTCCTCGGTAAGCCCCAGGTCTGACGCTGGCAGCGGCCTCTGACTTGGGAGTGACTTCCTCACATCAAGAAGCGGGAGCCCAGAGAGGCTGGCAGTGCCAGGTTCAAACTTAGAGCCATGGGCTCCCAGTCCTTTCAACTGGGTTCTTTCTCACACGTGGAGCCGCCTACAGGTTCCTGTGTCATCTAATTTTCAGGTGGACTCGGGAACAAGGACGGGCTGAATTCAGCTACCGCCTCATTTAATGTGGAGCCGTCATTCAGGACGTGTGTCTCCATCGGAGACAAAGCCAGCCTTCCTGTGCGTGGCATAGCGGGAGCCCCAGTCTACATAACTGACTCCAGCAATTTCCTCTCCTAACCACACCTGCCACTCTCCTCCCTACCCTGAAAGTAATAGGACTCAGCTTCCACAGCCACCACGCCGTTCACACCACCTTTATGTCAAGAGGGTCACAGCATCCCAGGGAGGTCAGCAGGGAAGGTCCCAGCATCCCCATCACACAGAGGAGGAAGCTGAGGCCAGGAGGGCGTCTGGCCGGTTCAAGATTACAAAATCTTCCCAGGGCAAGAACCTGCATCTTCTCTATTCTAGGTAAATATTTCTGTTGGGGAATTATTATTATTTCTCTTAATAAAAAGTAAGACGTACTGTTTCCCAACACTGCACCTGCGCTACAGCACTGCAGCAAAGGGAACAAACTTTAGGATCATTCTTGACCTAGAATTCTGGGCCTACCACTAACCAGGTGACCTTGTGTGAGATGCCATTTTATTACTTGAAAATAGGGCTTATATTCTTACAGTAGTGTCAGGATGGAATGCCAGAGTCTACGTAAACTCAGACACACTATCCTTGTCCTTCTGAGCCTTTACATTTGCAGTTCCCTCTACCTGGCACCCTCTACCCTCAGATCTCGGCATGCCTCGTCCCTCTTTTGTGCAGGTTTCAGCACCAACACCACTTCCTCTGACAGGTCTTCCCAGATCCTTTCTCTAGAGTCCTTCAGCCCACCCACACCCAGCCATCTCTCTACTCCCTTACCTCCTTTTTTTCATGACGTCTGTCCCCATCTCATTGCCAGACTTAAATCACATCGATTTTTCTGCATGATTGTCTGTCTCCTCCACTAGAATGTCAGCTTTGTGGGGCTAGGGCCAGCTCCCTTCCTCCCTCCTCCCGTTCACCACTGTATGCCCAGTACTTAGTGTCTGGCATGTAGTAGATGCATAGCAAAGATTAGTTGAAAGTTTGAATTCATGAACTAATGAACTGCTTAACAGAGTTACTGGCCTCGAGTACATTTTCAACAAGTGGTAATAGTTATTATAAGTAATAATACTACTTTGCCTCTTCCTCAGAGGAAGAGGTCTTAGTCCTGGTAAAATATATAGGGACCCACTTATGTTAAATGGTTCCTGTTCACCCACCATGTCTCTGCAGCAGTAGGCAGCCCTGGCCTGTACTTGAGAAGTTAGTAGTACTCTCTAAACTGAGCTCCATCTTGGCAGGTAACCCACAAGCTTCCTAAGGACCTTTGCATGAGAGGGGCACTAGGTAGCTTTGGCTTTTCACATCCTGTGCCCTAATGACACAGAGATAGTCCCAAGCTTCTCAGGACCCTCTTGCCTTGCAGCCAGCAATTGCATATTCCAAACTGCCCTGGGTAAGCACCATCATCCACTGTTCTACAGTGCTATTTAGGACCCAGAACGAGTGGCCTCATCCACAACTGGGGAGGGCCTGCACGGGTCTTTCATGTGCATCATCTGACACTGTTGATGAGGGCATCATTCTCTAATCCAGCTATCCCCTGCTCCCTGTGCTTAGGGAAATGAATTTCAAAGCCAGGACTGCTGGTGGCTTCCTCATAAATGGGCAGTTCCAGGCTCTGGGCCATTCTTGGTCCTGAGAAGCCACAACAGTGACCAACCTATATTCTTTGGTTCCAGACCTTAATGAACTGTCAGGATTTAGAAAGCCCACATATTCACGGAAGAGCAGATATCATTTTCTGGGTGGTTAAGTGGGCCCGCCAGAGTATCCTTGTTTTCACTAAACTACTACTAACGTCAAAAGAGCCTGAATCTTTTATCAAGCTGTCAGTCCTCACTCTTTCCTTTCCCTGCCTTGCCCCACATCAGAACCCACAAGCAAAAAAGTCTGTGCACTGCTTCTCGTGGTGCTGGCATGAAGTTTGAACCACGTATGTCCTGGCAACACAAGGAAGCCCCATCCTAACCAGCATATAACCCAAGCTGGCCATCTATTTCTGTGCTCCCAAAACATTTATGCAGCTGCTTGTAAGCCTGCCCTGATCTCCTCTGAAAACTTTGTTATGTAGTAAATCTTGTTATTCCTTCCTGCTTTGTGTGTGTTGGTGGAGGTGGAGGGAAGTGGGGGTGCAACCAGCGCCATTGCCTTAATTTTAGGAAAGTGATGGGTTTCTCACTTCCACTGTTGGGTCAAAAGGCTACTATATGTCTGCTAAAAAGGGATACTGGAAAATGTTAGAATTATTAAATACACAGTACAATCCAAAGGAGTGTCTGTTCTTTACCAATCATAAAGGTTGAAAGACAATTAAAGTTTTCTCTCTACATGCTTCAGTTTTATTTAACACTGGGCTTGTTCACTGTGTGAACTCGTAGTACCTTCTGGGATGATTCTTCTCAACCTGGGGACACCCTCAGCCTTCACGGCTTTCCTTGTAAGACTCCACCGGACCTGAACTATCCAACCTCTGATGCAGTGTTCCTCTCAATGTTCAGAGCTTCCCCGGAGCCCCAGCAGACCTGCCCATACACCCACTCTCTGCTCTCATAACACCCGAGACTGGCCTGGTAGTGACCGCACTACCACAGTAGACAGAATTGCACTCACATCGTCAAGTGTGTTCTTGGTTGCTTCGTGTCAGCCTTCTGTTGGATCATAGGGACGGGGCTCTTTGTTCCTTTTGCTCTCCATTCCATCCTGCAGCCCAGCCTTGGGACTGGCGTCTACTAGATGCTCATTTAACATTCATTAAATGTTGTTGAATGAATGACTGTTCTGGGCCACTGCAGGAAATAGTACATTCCCTAAAGGGTATTCAGTGCAGAAAAGCTGCACTCTTTAGGGACTTGGGAGCTTTGGCTCTTTAGGGACTCGGAAGCTTTGGCTTTTCAGATCCTGTGCCCCAATGACATAGAGATAGTCCCTAAAGAGCCTATGCAAATTAGAAAATAGTGCCTTTTCCATCCCTGACAAAATTGTCCTTATATATCAATTTGGGTAGAACAAGACACTTTCTTGCCATCTTTTGTACAGCTGTCCTACTAAATTCATACATCTACAATGTCTAGGATGTGAATTACATTGCCTTAAACATGTCCATGGGCAGTGCACAACCTGCACAACCTTACTCAGCAGTCCTGAGTGTGTTCAGACATGCTTAGGCTGGGCGGACACTCAATTGGGACAGAACCTGATCCTACTGCAGCCAAGCTGGATGGCCCTGTGCCCCTCCACTGACCTCTACTGGAGGAATGTGCTCATGATTCCCCAGGCCATCCCTATGTGGCTTTATCTACTGAGACATTTTACATTCTAAAACTGTAAAATGGATTTCAAGTAAAATCACACCAAGTAGCTACTAGCTAGAAGTTCATCCACATCGTGAGGTTAACCCATCATCCAAAAAGCAGATGCCACAAATCTTTTAGGGAAATACAACAGTGACATTCTGGGAAAAGTGAGCTGAGCAAAGGGAGGAAGCCCCTTCTGGTGAGGGAAGGCATGGGGGGGATCCAGGGAGTATGATGAGGTGGCTTTTGCAAGGCGACTTTTGGTTTTCCTAGGATGGGATTGCATCATACAATGACTCTCTGGGGTCAGAACTGTGCTTTGTCTAGATCACGGCTCCAAACTATGCTGCCCCCATGACGTGATTAGACACGGAGCGAGGCTAAGGCAGCTCCACCCCTGCCCTCCCCAAAGCTCAGACCATAGGGCACCCCGCTCTTCATCTCTCCTGAGAAAATGTGCAGTCATTCACGGTGACCCGTGAGCCTCTAGGGATCCAATACTCTGCATTAGTCCAGGAGAAAAACACAAGCAGGTGACTTTCTTCATCTGCATTTTCACCAGGAGTTTAGAGTCAGTTACAGGCAATAAGGTGCCATTATCTAATATAGTGGTCATTATTTTTTTTTCTCATTTTTACCTGAGGAGAAAATTACACAGGTTATTTTATGAGGTGAAGTTTTAAATGATCTTTGGTATTAATATATAATACAAAGTGACAGCCTCTATTACTGCAAGGAACTGAAGAGAAAATTGGAAGTTTACTTCTTACAGAGGAACCTGGAGGCCCATAGAAAGGCAAAGGAACCATTTGTCGTTCTTGACAGAAATAGCTTTTCTCTCATTTGAAGACACAGACTTTACAGTCACAAACTGAACTGTGGCCATTCATTTAAAAAGTCTTATATAGACACGCAGGTTTGAATATGATTTTCAAAATCCAAATTTTTCCTGAAAAAAAAATGCTTCCACAATGCAACATCCAACATTATTTCCACATTTTTACACATAGGATACTTTTGAATTTCATAAATGACCCCATTTTTAAATTTTAAGTAATGCAGTTCATTGAATAATTGTCAGTACTGTAGGTCAGGAGTTTAAAAGGAACCAATAGTGCCTATTCTATTTAGTAAATATCTTGACAAGCCATAGAATCTCTGTTGCAAATACTAAATTCTGTTGTAGCTGAAAGCAGCCATAGGCAATACATAAAAAAAGAGACATGGCTGTGGTCCACGTATTAGTCCGTTTTCACACTGCTATAAAGAATATTACCTGAGACAGAGTCATGATAAAGGAAAGAGGTTTAATAGACTCACAGTTCTGGCCGGGCACAGTGGCTCACGCCTGTAATCCCAGCACTTTGGGAGGCGAGGCCGGCGGATCACAAGGTCAGGAAATCGAGACCATCCTGGCTAACACGGTGAAACCCGTCTCTACTAAAAATACAAAAAATTAGCTTGGCGTGGCGGCTTGCGCCTGTAGTCCCAGCTACTCGGGAGGCTGAGGCAGGAGAATGGTGTGAACCTGGGGGGTGGAGCTTGCAGTGAGCCGAGATCACGCCACTGCACTCCAGCCTGGGCGACAGAGCAAGACTCCGTCTCAAAAAAAAAAAAAACAAAAAAAACCACTCACAGTTCTACCTGACTGCGGAGGCCTCAGGAAGCTTACAATCAAGGCAGACGGCAAAGAGGAAGCAGGCACCTTCTTCACAAGGCTGCAAGAGGAGAGGAGTGAGTGAAGGAGGAACTGTCAAACACTTACAAAACCATCAGATCTCATGAGAACTCACTCACTCTCATGAGAACAGCATGGGGGAAGCCACCCCCATGATCCAGTCACCTCCCTCCCTCAACACGTGGGGATTACAATTTGAGATGAGATTTCAGCGGGAATGCAGAGCCACACCATATCAGTCCAATAAAACTTTATTTACAGAAACATTGTGGACCAGACTTGGTCCATGGGCTTTAGTTTTCTGGCCTCTGCCAAAGATGAATGTTCCTCCAACCCTCCCAGAATCAATTCTCCTGTAAAATTTCTGGTCTCCATTGATTGCAGCTCTATATTTTCTGTTTGTAAAAGAAAAAAGAATCTTGATTTCTCATTTTTTTTACACCTAAGATGATATCCATCAACAAATCTCATCTCTACCTTCATGAATTAAGAATCTGAACACTTCTCACCACCTCTACCTCCAGAGCTTCCTCCCTGACTCAAGCCCTTGTCATCTTTGCCTCAATCACTGCAGTGCACTCCCTAGTATCCCTAGCTTTTGCCCTTATTACTTGTCGGCCTTTGCTTGACAGCAAAGTAATCCTGTTAAAACGTCTATCAGCCTCTTCTTCTCAACCCATGTCACACACACAGTCAAAGCGTTTATAGAAGTGGAGTCTATAATGTTCAACACAGTCTCTCCCTGTCTCTCCTACTCTCAGACTTATCTCCTCCTTCTCCCCTTGGTCTCACTGTTCTCCCTGGTGTTCCTTTAACACACCAGACACGTTCCTGCCTCAGGACCTTGGCACATGTCACACTGTCTACTGAACTGCTCTTTCTCCAGGTGTTGGCAGGATTTCTTTAACCATTTCCTTACATTTTTAGTTGACTTTCTCAGGGCAACTTCCCTGAAAAATGAATCTTTACATATCAAAATATTATTTTGTGTTTCTCTGCTTTATTTTACTCCTTAGCAACTTGTCTAACAGTCTATATATTTATAGATTGGGTCTACTTTCTTTCTATACAGAGCCAGGGATTTCTGTTAATTTTTTTCTTTTCTATATCCCCAGTTCCTAGAATAGATGAGGTGCCCCATTGATAGGTGTTGAATGAATGAACAAATGAGTGAACAATATTGTTAACTATGCAGACTGGATACTGAAGCTCCAGGTAATTCTTTTTTTTTTTTTTTTTTTTCAGATGGAGTTTCGTTCTTGTTGCCCAGGCTGGAGTGCAATGGCATGATGTCAGCTCACCGCAACCTCCACCTCCCAGATTCAAGCGACTCTCCTGCCTCAGCCCCCCTAGTAGCTGAGATTACAGGCATGCGCCACCACGCCAGGCTAATTTTTTGTATTTTTAGTACAGACCGGGTTTCTCCATGTTGGTCAGGCTGGTCTCGAATTCCCGACCTCAGGTGATCCACTCGCCTCGGCGTCCCAAACTGCTGGGATTACAGACATGAGCTACCACGCAGGTGATTTTTATACATATGGCTAAGCACACTCAGATCTTCAGAACTAAAGCCAATGAACATTAAAATGGAATACCATGTTTAACTATTGAGCTGGTAAAGACTTATTTTTTATAAAGTAATATCCTATGTCAGGGAGGGTATAGTGAAAGGAACATTTCCTATACTATCAATTTCAAAGTCAATTAACACAGTCTTGCTCCAGAAAACTTTGTCAATATTTAGCAACTGTCTTAACATTGCTTATGCAAAGTGATCCAGTAATTCATATGAATAAATCACCCTAAGGAAATAGCTGGAGACATGAACAAAAATATGTAAAATGATATTCACTGCAGCATTGTTAATGATATAAATAAAGAAATATTCTAAATACCCAACAATAGAAGGATTAGCCAAATGATGCATGTCTCAGCTGAATGGTGAGATATAATATGTCATTAAAATCATATTTAGAAAGGTATTAGTAACACGAGAGAAAAGCTTGCAATATATTGTTACAACAGACTGAAATGGCCTCAGTTCTTCCATCTCAGCATACACCAATGAGCCCTGGTCTCCTCAGGGCTGGATATACTTTCCACCCCTCTGACTTTTGGCTCAACCCTGTTGATTTGCTTGGAAACTTAAAATTTCCAAAGTGACTTGCTTTGGCCCATGACAGGTAGGTAGAGGAGCTACCTACACATTCCGCAAATATATGCATTTTCCCACTATGAATTCTTATTTATCTGTTGTATTTAAACATATTTCCCAAGGCCATTTGTAAGTTACATTTTTGATGAATCGAAGAATGATCTTTTTAAAGCTGGACTTAAGTAATGTAAATACTTGAAAAACATTCCATGATTTAGACTGATGGTTTTCATACTTTAGTGGAATTCAGAAACACCTGGGAATTTCATTTAAAATGTGGACTCCAGGGCTTCCCTCCCAGACTGATCTGGGGCAGTGGGAGTGAACAGAAGCCAACATTTAAAAAGTATTTCAAGTGATTATGACATAAGTTGTCACTGGACCTCAGGCTGATGTTACTGTGAAGTCAAGTGACAACTTATGTCAGAATCACTTGAAATACTCTCGACAAGTCATTCAGGTTCTTGGCATTTTGAATAAACAACTGCACAAAATGCACAAACAAAGCAATAAAAGAATGAAGCACTGAAAGCAGTCAGGCTGTCCTGAACCTTACCTGTAGGAGTCTCATGTATTTCTGTTGGCCCTCGTGTGCTTCTGTCATCATCCTGAGAGAGACACACAGGCTGAACTGCTGTCCCAGGAGAAGGACATGAGACATGTGGCACGAGCCACCCCAGCTGAGTCCCCAGGATGAACTCACCTGGATCATCTGTAGGAAAGATTCATCAAAAAAAAAAAAAAATGACTGCTCTTTTAAACCACTGAACTTAAGGGTATTTTATTATACAATAATATACCAATACAGCTGTATACTTTAAAAAGGCAGCATGCTAAGAATGGTAACCATAGTAAATATGCTTTCATCTTCTTGAGAAAAAGATAGATGCAGAGAAGAAACTAGAAATAAATTCGTCAAAAGTTAATTGTGATTATCTCAAGGCAGTGGGAAAATAGATATTTTAAAATTTTATTCTTTGTAATTTTCCACATTTAACAAAAACATTAGTCACTTTCACAATCAGCAAAAAACAAAACTAGAATTGTTTCCCTGACAGAGTTCATTTGTGTCATTTGTATGGAAGAGAGAGGTGGTTTTGGTATACCGTAGCAAAGCAGTGTTGTTTAGTGGGAGAAAGAAATTGGATCTGGAATTAAAAATCCTGGGATAGGTTTCTGTCTCAACCCCATCTGCCTAGGAGATACTGTTCTGAGCAACAGAGCAGTGAAACGAGCCTAAGACACCTAACAGGGCAACTGTAGGGATTATGGGGAAATACAAACATTTATGCAGGAAGGTCATTTAATAATCCAAATTTTAATTATATCTCAGTGAAGCAGGAGAATAGGATTTGGAGGCAGGGAACCTAAGGCCAATTTATGCTGACTTCCTAGAACTGAATCAAAAGGAAAACCCCAGCTTTCTATGCCCAAGTAACAAAAGGATCGGAGGCTACTCCCTTTGCAACCCAACCCCGCTTTCTGTGTTGCAGATGAGAAATGGAAAGTACCTCTGATTGGTCGGTCCCCTCCCACAACCAATCATACTGGTCACAGGCCTAGTCTTCATTTGCATAGGGGTTCAACTTTGTAACTTCACTTCAGCCTCTGATTGGTCACCTACTGCGACCAATCAGACTGGTCCCCTACTGCGACCAATCAGACTGGTCCCAGGCCACTCCTTCATTTACATAGGGTGTAACCAATTAACCAGTGGAAACTTCCAGAGGGTATTTAAACCCCAGAAAATTCTGTAACCAGGACTCTTGAGCCTGCGCCCACTCCAGAGGGTAAATCTCTGCTTTTGTACTTTCCAGTAAATCTCTGCTTTCAGTGCTTCATTCTTTTATTGCTTTGTTTGTGCATTTTGTGCAATTGTTTATTCAAAATGCCAAGAACCTGAATGACTTGTCGAGAGTATTTCAAGTGATTCTGACATAAGTTGTCACTTGACTTCACAGTAACATCAGCCTGAGGTCCAGTGACAACTTATGTCATAATCACTTGAAATATTTTTTAAAATGCTGGCTTCTGTTCACTCCCACTGCCCCAGATCAGTCTGGGAGGGAAGCCCTGGAGTCCACATTTTAAATGACGTTCCCAGATGTTTCTGAATCCCACTAAAGTATGAAAACCATCAGTCTAAATCATGGAATGTTTTTCAAGTATTTACATTACTTAAGTCCAGCTTTAAAAAGATCATTCTTCGATTCATCAAAAATGTAACTTACAAATGGCCTTGGGAAATATGTTTAAATACAACAGATAAATAAGAATTCATAGTGGGAAAATGCATATATTTGCGGAATGTGTTCATACGTGTTCGTAACAATCGGGCTCCAGTCAGGACACAGACACTACATCACTAGTTTGAACATTAAGCTTTTAATATAACAATTATCTATTGAAAGGGATGAAAACTTTTCAGAATATAAGGGGACTTCAAAAAGTTTGTGGAAAAACGAAATTAAAAGATAAAAGTAAAAAATATAAACTGTGTTTGTGAGCATGAAGTCCGTCAAGTTGAAGACACTTCTGTGAGTGATGATGCCAGATATTTAGTCCATCCCTGTAGAACTGAGGGTCCTGGAAATGTTACCATGTCAATGCAGTCTTTTCAAATTATGAACTGGAGAAAAACAGGTAAATAGGTTCCTTTAAATATAGATTTTTTTTTTAATTTTAGCAAACAAGAAGTCAGAAGAAGCCAAATCAGGACTGTAAGGTAGATGCCTAATGATTTCCCATGGAAACACTGGCAAAATTGCCATTTTTCCTTATTTTTTTGTTTTGATTATTATTTTTTTCTTTTTTTGAGACAGGGTCTCCCTCTGTCGCCCAGTTTTGAGTGCAGTGGCACAATCATAGCTCATTGCAGCCTCAAACTCCTGGGCCTCTGAAGTAGCTAGGACTATGGATGCACGCCACCATAGCCAGTTAAGGAATTATTATTATTATTATTTTATAGAGACGGGATCTCACGATGATGCTCAGGCTGGTCTCAAACTTCATGGGCTTAAGCAATCTTCCCACCTAGGTTTCCCAACATGCTGGGATTCCAGATGTGAGCCACCATGCTGAACTGCACAATTGCCCTTGTTCGATGAGAGGAATGAGTAGGAGCTTTGCATTGTGATGGCGGAGAAGGACTCTCTATTGAAGCTTACTTGGGTGTTTTTCTGCCAAAGCTTTGGCAACCTTTCTTAAAACACTCTCATAAAAAGCAGATGTCATTCTTTGGCCTTCCTGAAAGTCAACAAGCAAAATGCCTTCAGCATCCCAAAAAACTATTGCCATGACCTTTGCTCTTGATCAGTCCACTTTTGCTGTGACTGGACCTCTTCCACCTTTTGGTGGCCATTGGTTTAATCGTGCTTTGTCTTCAGGATAGCGCCAGTAAAGCCATGTTTCATCTCCTGTCACAATTCTTCAATGCAGTTCTTCGGGATCTTGATCCCACTTGTTTAAAATTTCCAATGAATGAAAGCTTTGCTGTACTCTATGGCTGATCTGGGCAAAGTTTGGCATCCACTGATTGGACTCCACTGATTGGAAACTTTGCTCAACTGTAATCATCAGCCAGAATTGTGTAAGCTGAACCACTTGAGATGTCTATGGTGTTGGCTGTTGTTTGTGCTGTTAATCTTCAGTCCTTTTCAATTAGGGCACAAACAAAAAGAACTTTTTTCCTGCAAATTGATGTAGATGGTCTGCCATTGTGGGCTTTATTTTCAATATCATTTTGTTCATTCTTAAAATGATTTAACCATTTGTAAACTGCTAATTTCCTTTAGGCATTATTCCCATAAACATTTTTTAGCATCAATTATCTCACCATTCTTACACCCAAGTTTCACCATAAATTTGACGTTTTTGCTTCAATGTTTGCAGAATTCATATTGCACTCACAGAGGCTTTTTCTCAAACTGATGTCTTCTTAATTCTTGCTGCCTTAAACTAAATCCTGCTCAGATGTGCTACAAAAAGTCAGTATGAATTTATTTTGATGCAAAAAATGGCTTGAAATCCATGCATAATTTTTCAATAAATATGCATTTTCCACTAATTTTTGAAGACTCTTTGAACAGGAATAATAAATGGAAGGAGCAGCTACTACTTGTAGGGCTAAAGGAACGTACCCAAGAAGTAAAAAACATAAAGCGTACTTTCTCCCAAGCTGAAATTCAGACCTTATTGAGCTGGTGTGGCTGTACCCCATTGCCTGGTTGGGAAGTGTGCTGAGTGTCTTGGGCCAGAGCTGGTTCCCAGCTAATGAGCCAAGTTACCCACTGGTGGGCCAGTGAAACTCACTGAACAGTGAACACCACCAGGCCTCTGCAGGCTGCTGGGAGCTATGCGACAGGAACATAAAGAAAACACTATAATCAGGAAGAAGAGCTCTTCCTCAGCTGTCCCTTTCACTGTCTCTCTAGCACCCCCCATTGGAAAAGTCCAATGTTGCATCAACAGAACAGAAATATTTACAGGGTCCAGCTCCAAGACCACACAAAGCAAGGACAGATGGGTGGAGTTGGAGCTGACAGGCAGCAAACAGAATTGGCAGAATTACTTCTTCTAGAAAGTTCAAGAACATCTGTATTCGAAATTTCCTGTCATACCTTGCAACACTATGTATGGTGTTAATTTTATCTTTGTTATTCTGTACGTTCTAAATCTGTTATCAATGAGTCAGTTCTATTTGAAAAGATGTACTGGATGGTTATGATCATTCATTTTAGCAGAAACTCAATTTTCAAGGGAGCAAATGAAAACAGGAGATAAGTAGTCAACATCACAAAGCATGTCAAATATGAAGTGAAAAAAATAAAATAAAAGCTGTCTCTTATGGAAGTGCTTAAGACATTCATTCATATTTGTGTTTCCCATGGGTCTTTAGATCAAGATAATAGAGCAATTAACTATATCTAAAAGACTTTAAACGTCTTTGTACTTTATTCTTATGGACGAGGACAGCTGAAACTCACTTTTGAAATGGGGACTACTTGCATGTTTTTCTACTTTCTCTCCATAATAAAACAGGAACAAATGCAACTACTTCCTTCCAGTGATAAAATGAATGAGCACATTCATGAAAAGCTCCTCAACTCACATAACAGGTTGTGAAAGGAAGAGTGATTTTCTGAGCCTTTGGGGATGTAGAGTCATTGAGAAGCATTTGTCTTAATTAATAACAGAGATTAAAGTTAAACATGCTTGGCAGCTGTTCCAATATACTTTATGGTTATCACAACAAGCATACTTTATCTCTACAGTGATAAACAATATGTAACAACAGTTGTCAAAAATCTGTTTGATGATGTGATATTTATATATGTAGTTGGTATTAAATGCTTTATTTTTGAAAATTCCTTGGGGCTAATTATTGTTGTTGCCTAATGGGAAGTTTAAAGGAGATCTTCAATGATAATAATTGTAACCAGTCATCAGTACTTTATGTCTTAATTAATGATGCCATCTAGAGAACAGTAATTGAGACTTTCAGAGAAACTGAAATCTAGGGGGAACAAAAGAAAAACAGGAAATCACATAAAGGGAGGGGGCATCAAATCATAATACAAATTCTGCTCCAGGCATTGCTTAAATGATAAAATACAGAGGCATAGGGAAGACTGGTAAAAATCCAGGGAGAAAGCACCACAAAAAATTGACGTAGATTTCATAGTTTGAGTCTAGGGAGGTTAACTGTCAACTAAAACAAAAGTAAATTTAAAATTTAACAATCTACAGACAAACAAAACATATTCTACAGTTGCTACATTTTGTTGTCTACGAAGTTCTTTTTTTCAATCAAAAAGTAGGGGATATTTTAAAAGACAGAAAAGTGTGGGCCATAATTCGGAAAGTAGAAGTGAATAGAAAAAGATCCTGCCTGATCCCAGATGCTGACATGGATTTACAGAAGCTTTTGTAAATATATACAAATAATTAAAGAAAAAAACATATTCAAAGAAATAAAGGAAAATATGGTATTTATGAGAGAAAGCAATTGTAACAGAGAAATGTATACTACAAAAATATAAATTTTAGAGTTAAAAAAGAAAAATAACAAGAATGAAAAATTTGCTATATTGACTCACCAACATATTGAGATGTCAAAAATATGTATTAGTAAAGTTGAATACACCTTAAGAAAAATAATTAAATCTTAAGAATAAATAGAAAAATATTAAAGATAAATTAGCAAGACTTCTTGGATCTTTGAGACAATACCAAATGGCCCAACATCCATGTAATTCATCCGAGGCCAAGTGAAGACCAGAAGAGGGAAAGAGACAAGGAAAGGAAAATGAAATACAGAAATAACAGTCAAAACTCACTAAATTTGGAGAAAAATGTTAACTTACAGGTCTAAGAAGTGTAACGAACTTCAAGTAGTTTAAACACAAGCAAATCACGTCAAGGTACATCATAGTCAATCTGCAAAGCACCAAAGAGAAAGAGAAAATACTGAACTCAGCCAAAAAAAAAATAAGTATTAAGACACATTACATAGAAAGAAACAAGATAACAATTAACAGCCCATTTTAACAAGAAACAGAGAATAGCATAATAACATGTTCCAATAGAACAGAATAATAAAGAATGGATTTACCGATACAACAACATGGATGTATGTCAAAAACATTATTACGTAAAAGAAGTCAGATGCAAAAGAGTACAAACATAAAGATTCCATTTATTTCTTATATATGAAATGTTAGAAAAAGGCAAAACTGTAATGTCAGAAAGCAAATCACATTTGCCTGTGTCTGGAGTTAGGGAACAGGGATTTCCATCAAAAGATCATAGGGAGATTTGGGGGATATGATGGGAATATTGTCTATCTTCTAGGAAGTAGTGGTTACAAAGCTGTAAACATTTGTAAAGCTGATTGAAGTGTATACCTAAGAAAGGTGAAATTCACTGTAGGCAAATTATATCTCAATAAAACTGTTTTTTAAAAAAATCTTGTTTCTAATGTCCTGAAACCATTACAAATCAGGATTCTTTTGATCACAAGAGAAAAAAATCCATTTATTGTCCTAATCAAAAAATAGTAATTCATAAGCTCTTGTAAGTGAACATGCCAGAGATAGCTTTAAGTATGGATGAATCTAAGGAGTCAAAGATCGACTGGGAATTTGTTCTCTTCATCTTTCACCCGTGCTTCCTTAGTGAGGGTTTTCCTCTCAGGCAGGTTATCCCTTCACAGGAAGATGGCAGCTGGAAGCTCGGTTGTTCTGACAATAGCCTTGGGACTGATAATCACTGGGCCCTCATAGGCCAAGTGATGTGAACCAATCATGGTGGCTAGAGAGATGGTATATGCCAGTTGACTAGAACCATCACCAGCTAAACCTCATGGTCCAAGATCCAGGAAGAGATGGTTTCCCAAAGGAAAATCAGAGTGTTATGACCAGAAGAATTCATAATCAGCAGGCCAGTGCAATGGACATCATTCCATGTGTTATGATTGGGAAAGGAAAAGCAAGCTCACCTTTTATGGCCATCTTCCATGTTCTGAGGATGTATTCTAAATGATTCATGGATTCTCATGGCTACAACCATTGCAGTGGATATGAAAGGATTTATTCCAGCTACAAACTACAAATAATTTCCATAAGGCTCCTCTTACCTAACTCATGGGCAGCAAGTGCATGTGCAAGTTCCTGACGCAGTATAAAGTGCAATAGTCTTTGAGTCACTTCATTTATACCATCATTAACTCGCCTTGGGCAGCAAGCCACATGCATGGTCCTTGCCACAATACAGCAGTCTCTGTGGCACCTTATATATGCCAACACTGAGCCTCCTCCCCTTGTGATTATGGCGCCCGCACAGCCCTGAAGTTTGAAGTTATTCAGCATTTGATAGTGCCTCTCTCCTGTAAGTCAAGCCCAAGCTTATAGTCACTGAGTCATGCAGCCATTTGACCAATAACAGCAATCAATTCAAACCTGAGTCTTGCTCACTCAGTGCCGTTGTTCTAATTCTATTCTTCTCTGGAAGACAGGGGCCTTTCTAGGTATTCAATACTTACTGTGTTATTGAATTCTTGGAACTCTGTGATGCCTGTGTATAATCATCCCCATTTCATTGTCTGTGCATGATCTGTCAACACTTTATACCCATCACCTCCTCTATCTTCCCTCTGTGTGCTCTCCATGCTACCCTGGTCACACAGAGCTCCTTGCTGTTTCTTTAAGACACCAAATAGGCATCCATTTCAAGGTCTTGCTAATTGTGGTTTCCCATTCCTGGAATGGATGTCTCCAAAATAATAGTTTTATTCATTTTTGCACTTCCTTTGGGCCTTGCTGAAATAGCATCTTATGCTTCCATGAAAGACTTCTATGGGCACTCTACGTAAAACAGCATCACACTTAGTGTCTCAAATAGATTGCTAAATAAATTTACTTACTGGGTTTTAGAGATGAATAACTTGGAGCTCAGGGTGATTACAAGTCTTAGCTGAGCAGGCATAGCTGAAAAGCAGCACAGCTAGGATTTTAGCTGTGTTTTCCAGGCTTTACACATGCTCTTCCCATGACACCATACTTCTATCAAACATTGAACACAATGGTTTAACCTTAATAAAACCAAATCTTAGAAATATCTACAACATAGAAAACTGATGAAAGCAGTGCTGCTGTCTATTGATGAGAGAATCTGAATCGGTTGCATGAAACTCACAGAACAGTTTAGAAACCATAGTCTGGGCATACCTGGGCCTCAGAACTCACCTACTTCAACCCTGCACACCTCGGCTCAGGACCCTAAAACTCAGACAGTTTAAGGGGCACCTCTTCAGGTGACACAGTTTGGGCCTCCCAGCCCTTTGTTCAGAGCCCTTTCCACTGACTGTGGTTGGTACAGGCACAATCAACAGGTCATAGACTGCAGATCAGGACCCATGTCCTAGTCTGGGAATGGGGATTTTTCTGAGCAACAATTTCTCTGAGCAAATCGTTTTTATTCTCCATGGGCTCCATCCAACAATGATGAAAAAGGCCAGGCTCACCATAAAAAATGAGGACTGAGCCCTAGTTAGCTGACATAATTGTAATAGTTACAATTAATTAAGTAATTGTCATGTGGTAGGTACTGTTAAAGCTCACTATTTGTGTTAATCCATTGACTCTACCTCACCCTATGAGATAGTGTATCTCTCAGTCCTAGTTTGGTAGCAAATATCACAGCAAACCTTAGTTGCTTCACACACAAAGATGTTTTTCTTGTTCACTGGTTTCTTGACCTATGTACCAATCACTGATTAGTTGAATATTCCCAACCACACTGTTACCACAGAAAACCCAGGAAGCTGAAACTGGAATATTGCTAGTCATCATGGTAGAAAGAAAAAAAGAACTATGGATGCCACAGTGATTAAATGCCCTGCAGCATGAGTGACATGTTATTACTTTTGTTCACAAATCAGTGGTCAACGTTGCATGACTCTATGGCCCCACCTAGCACTTAGACAGTAAGGAAATGCAGCCCCACCTGTCTTAGTCAATATTGGCTGCTATAACAAAATACCACAGACTCATTGACTTAAAAACAAACATTTATTTCTCATCATTCTGGAGGCTGATAGTCCAAAAATGGGCTGTCAGCATGGCTGGGTTCTCGTGTGGGCTCTTTTTCTGGTGTACAGACAGCTGCTTTCTCATTGTTTCCTCTCATAGCAGAGAGAGGTCATCTGTCTCATGTCTCTTCTAAGGGCACAAATCTCATTCTTGAGAGCCCCATCCTCATGGCCTAATCACCTCCTGCCTAATCACCTCATGGCCTAATCACCTAAAAACCCTCGCCTGCACGTACCATCCCACTGGGTGTAAGGGCTTCAACATATGAATTTTGTGGACACAATCAGTCCAGATGCTTTTTAGGGCAGCAGTCCACATGCCCTAAAGTTAAAGAGCTAAAATATGATGAGCAGTGTATGTGCCTGTCTCAAACAGTTGCTGATCCACTAGGTGTTGATATGAACCCTATTTTATACATAAGAAAGTTGACATACAGAGAAGGTGACATCACCCAACTTCATCCAACAAACGAGTGGCATAGCTGGGGTTTGAGCCAGTGGTCTGGCGCCAGAGCCTGCCTTCCACATCACACCTCATCATACCCCACTGTGTGGTCAGCAGCATTCAGCGAGAGCCTGCCTGTGGTCAGTATTGCAGTTTCCTCTAAAAAGAGCAGATAGAGCACTGTTGTCATTCTTTCCCAGCCTCCTCAGACAAGAAGGATGGTATTTTTGCTGTACCCTAGAGGTTCTAGAAGGGAAAACTAGAATGGCGTTGGGATTCTATGGGCTGATGAGCCCTGTCCACAAGGGCCACCACTGGGAAAAGGTAGAATGAGGCTTGGGATTTTAGGGTGCAGTGATACTCACCAGATGCCAGTGCTGGTCTCTTACCCCTAAACTTTTCCAGTCCAGGAAGCGGTTTGGGATGTGGCATCAGGTCTGTATCACTGAGCAGGCTCTCCTGGCCTCCTTATCGGTCACCACCTCTGCACCTGGTGTCCTGAAACTGAGCCTGGCTCCAGGCAAACCACCCACTCATGAGCTCCCAGCATCTCCCTGTGGTGGGGGAACTTTATGTACTGCGACTTGGGTCATTACATGAATTGTGAGCAGGGTTCATTTACTTTAAACACAGGTGTTTACAAAACAAATATCTCCAACTGAACAGACACACACACACACACACACACACACACACACACAAACACTTCATGCTGACAGTAGGTTCCACTTCCAAGCTAGGAATCGTTGCTCAAAGACTTTTAGGCGTCAGAACTAAAAGTCAGATGGGACAATTGGCCTGAGTTTTAACTAAGGAAAAACCTCAAGGATAGATATTGTATCTTATCTCCAAATAAGGCCATGTACACAGAGGGTATATAGCCACAGAAACACTTCATCAGCATTAGAATAAGAATATGGTCTCACCTAAATGTGTACTTGAGTCCCAGTGTCATATATCTATTGTATATTTGCAGAGGTGATATCTACCATAGTTAAAGCTGTGAGAGCATGGACCTGCCCATACTACTAGTGGAAGTCAGACATAAAAGGTCAGTATACACACACCAGTGCCCACAGAGAAATATCAGCCCTGCACATTTGGGAAACTCTATTTTTGAAAATAAATCCCGTAATTTTCTTTTGAATCACGTTAGTATTTTTTATTTGGGTTAAAGGCATTGGTGTAATAAACATAAACATTTAAATAACACCACACTTTTTAAACCCTGTTTTTATTAGTTTTCCATGGTACTGTAATAAATTATGATAAACTTAGTGTCTCAGAGCAACGTACATTTATTATCTGAGAGCCTGGAGGTTAGAAGACAAAAACAGGTTTCGCCAGACTAAAATCAATTGTCCACAGCACTGCATTCCTCCTGGAGGTCCAGGGAAGAATCTACCTTCAAAGCCAGCAATGCCCAGCACCATCTTCCTCGGGTTGTGTCACTCTGGTCTCTGCTTCTGTCACAATACCTCCTTCTCTGACTCTCTGCCTCCACTTATTTATCTAAAAGGCTTTGCTATTAGATTGGGCCCACCTCAATAATCCAGGATTGTCTCCTTAATCTCAATGTCCTTAATTTCGTCACATCTGAAAAGTCCTTTCTGCCATGTAAGTTAACATAATCACTGGTTCCAGGCATTGGGATATGGACACTTTGGGATTAATTATTCTGCAGTGTTCTTTTTTAAAAAAATGTTTCAGGAGCTTTGTACACAGAAGTGTTCTTGACTTTCTTCTACACTGAGGTCCATGTTCTTGGCAGGGGCTGTGGCCGCAGACAACACACTCCCTGCTGTGTTCCAGAGACACCGCCAGCAGCCAGTGGGCCCGGAACCCCAGAAATGTTCTCCTACCTGGGATGCCTCTAATGTTCTCCCACCTGGTGTACCTCTAATGTTCTCCCACCTGGGATACCCCTAGTGTTCTCCCACCTGGGGTATCTCTAATGTTCTTCCACCTGGGGTACCTCTAATGTTCTCCCACCTGGGAAGCACCTCGCCTGGAAAACTGACACTTCAAAACTCTTTGGGGTGACTGAGAAAGCCTTTTTCGTTACTCTCATTCTGGTTTCCTAAACCAGAATTAGAAGCTCATTATTTCAGGAAAGAAAGCATGAGTCTCAACAGAGCCTATTTGTGTAAGGTCTGTATTTTGTTTGTAAAGCAAAACAATTTGGATATCTCTATCTACCTATCTATATAGATACATGGAACCAATTTTAATAGATGTAGAATTTCAGTTTTACAAGATGAAAGGAGTTACAGGGGTGGATGGTGGCGATGGTCATACAATATTATGAATGTGTTTAATACCTCTGAACTGTGCACTTAAAAATAATTAAGATGGTAAATTTTATATGTGTATTTTACCACAATAAAACATAATTTTATAAAACTGAACTAGAAGGTTAATTGCTTTATTCTGAACACATCGAAGGTGTATGCTGAATGTCACTCCCAGGAACGCTTGACTGGAACGCAGGGGCCTGGTGGTGTGGTCTTGGGCCAATCTATCCACTTTGTGGGTCTTGATTTTCACAACTATAAAATGGGCATAATGCCAGTTGCCATTCTGGATTCTCCACCCAAGTGCTCAAGACAAAATCCTATGTGTACCCCCTACTTTCTCTTTTTTCCTGAGCCCCCACATCGAGGCTCCTGTCCTTTCAGCTGAGAAACATTTAATGAAACCCAGCCTCTTCTCCCCACACCAGTGCCACCACCAGGATCAAGCCAGCAGCACTTCCCACTGCAAGAGCTTCCCAGTGGGCTCCTTGTTCCCGCCTGAAGCCTGAAGACTCTTCTCCTCACTGCAGCCACATCGCTTAATCCTTTCAAAGCTCACATCTGATTATGGCACCACCAGCATTAACGTCATATGGCTTCTTACTGAGCTCAGAATGCAGACTCCAATCTTTATGGCCTTCAGGGCCCTTCCCGGTCTGACCCATCTGAGATCCCAGCTGCATCTGGCCCCTCTCAACAACCTCTTCCCTGTACCCGTTATCTGGCCACAACACTGCACGTCCCCTGCTCTCTCTGTCCTGCCGCAGAGCATTTGAATTGTTCTTCCCTGCCTTGAATGCTCTCCCCATGCCCCCTAGGTCTAGTCAGCCCATTCGAGATTGTCATTCATTCAACAGCTGTCAACTGGGCACCCACTGCGTGTTTGATCATGTGTTTAGTGGGATCCTTATGGGATGAATGTCTTCCTCCAACACACACACACGTGTGCGCGCGCGCACACACACACACACACACTGCCGCCAAGTCCCATGTGTTTTTCCAGGGTTAAGCTGACCTTAGTCCTCTACCACCCACCAACCAGCCCCAAATGCAACCGTCATAGGAAAAATGCAAGAGCAGAAGACATAAGAAGAAGGGACAGGGAAAGGAGAAAAAAGAAAGAAAAGATAAATATTTTTAAAAATAAAGGAAAAAAGAAAAAGGAATGGAATGAGAGAAAGAGGGAGGCAGGCTGAAGGGATGCTCCTCAGAAGGTGGCATCCAAAAAGCCAAGGTGGCTGCAACTGTTACCTCCATCTCTCTTTCAGCTCTTATTTCAACATACATTTTTTGAACATCCATGAGATGTCAGGTTCTCTTCCAGGTGGTGCGTATACGAAAGTATGAAGACGCCTGTAATCCCAGCACTTCGGGAGGCCAAGGCGGGCAGATTACAAGGTCAAGAGATGGAGACCATCCTGGCCAATATGGTGAAACCCTGTCTCTACTAAAAATACAAAAATTTGCTACTTGGCAGGCTGAGGCAGGAGAATCGCGTGAACTCAGGTGGCAGAGGTTGCAGTGAGCTGAGATCGTGCCACTACATTCCAGCCTTATGACAGGGTAAGACTTCATCTCAAAAAATAAAATGAAATAAAATAAAATAAAATAAATGTAAGTATGAAGATAAACATGAGCTGCCCTCATGGAGCTGACATTCTCCTGAAGACAGAGAAAAGTCAGCAAACAAATAAATGTAATAAGATTTAGAACAGTGCCAAATGCCATGAAAGGAAGAAAAAAGATAGGACAGGAAGACCAGGCAGGAGACGAGGACAGGCATCTGGCAGGAGATGGTGGTGGCTGGGCTCCGCTGCTGGTGGTGAGGCAGAGTAGAGGGTTAACTCTGGATATATTTTGGAGGTTACAGCCACTAGAACTTGCTGATGGACTGAATATGATTCTTGAAAATGGAGAAGCATCCTGGGTGACTCCTCTATTTTTATTCCAAGCAGTGGGATGATGGTGGTGCCATTTGCTGATTAGGGGAGACTGATGGAAAATTCTGTCAACACAAAAATGGGACTTGAAGAACCTCATGAACTCTGGAATTACCGAAAGCTTAGTAAACCCTTTACAAATTAGGTTCCCAGAAACAAATGCCACAGGCAGAGTTAATTAACAGGAATTTCACTGAATGAGAGGCTTGTTCTTAGAGTTACAAATGATGCCCTTTGAACGGCAACTCACATCAGAATCACTAAGTATTCAGCCCATGGACTGGGAGCAGAAAGTTGAATCTATTAGTAGTGGAACAAGAATGAATTTCTGGTGAAAACACAAATGGCCCGTGGCCAAGTGACTGTCTAACAACTGATCACTTGCAGTGTGCTTGCTGGTGTGCCACTGAAGAAGGTCTGCGTGTCTCATCTGAAATGTGAAGGCCAACAGCAGTATCACTGAAATCAGTAACAGTGCATGGTCCTCATCACCGATTGCCAAACATTTCAGAGGAAAGAACTGGGACTTGGAAGGTGTGGATTTTAAGGTCTGTTTAGGCGCTGCCTGGCTGGGTACAATAAACACATTCTTTGAACCAGAGTAATAACAGGATAAATGACCTGGGAAAGGTCACCCCGTGCCTCAGTTTCCCTTGGAGGGTGACCTTAATTAGATGATCAACAATGTTTCCATACAAATCAGATACACTCTGTGGGCTTTCAGCTGCCGAAACACAGCGGACAGAGACATGAGATGGGGATGGCGAAGCCGACGCCACCAGGAGCCGAGCGTGCACGTGGGGGAAGCAGGCCTGGCTGGGGATGGGCGCAGTGTGGAGATCTGCAGAGTTTCAGGGTGGTGGATGAATGTGTGGACTCTGGAGTCAAGTGGCCTCTGGGGAGGTGCTGTCATCCCCGTGTTGTAGGCGGGGACACTGAGGCTCAGGGACATCCAGGGACTTGCCCCAGGTCCCACAGCCAATAAGTGGCAGAGCAGATATTTGAAGCCAGGTTGGCCTGGCTCTAGGACCCAATGCTCCTAACTCTGTGCTTTAGAGGAGCTTTGCCATCTGTGGTCCTGATATGCCACCTCCTAGATTTCCCTGCTCAGCCTGGCCAAGACAAGAACAGGACCAGATGTCCCCATCCAGGAAGAAGCTGACTCAGCTTCTACCTCTGCTCCCCTCTGCCTTTGTCATGTGGAAAGAGCCAGGAATGCCATCAATCAATCAGTCTCTCTCTCATCTCTCTCTCCCTCTTTACCTCACTTTCTCTCTCCCTCTCCCTCCCTTTCCTCCCACTTTTCTCACTTTCTCTCCCTTCCCTCCCTTCCTCTGTTCCCAGTTATGATATCCATTCTCAGAGCCAAAGTCAAGAGCAGGATGTCTATTTAAATAGGAGTTAATTCCAGAAATACAAAACAATTAAGTAATCTACCATATTAACAGTGTAAAGGACACACACACACACACACACACACACACACACACGAAATCCTGTCCATTGAGGCAGAAAAGGCATTTGATAAAATTCAACAGCCACTAATGACAAAAATTCTAGGCAAACTAGGAATAAAATTCAATTCCTTTACCCCAATTAAAAAGTATCTAAAAATATTAATAGCTAAGAACATACTTAATGATTAAAGACTGAATATTTTCCCTTTAAAAAAAAACAGAAAAAGATGAGTTTGTTTGCTGTTACAACTACTATTCAACGTAGTGACTGAAGTCCTAGCCAGTGCAATAAGGCAAGACACATAAGTAAAAAGGCCCGCAGATTGGAAAAGAAGAAATAAAGTGTTTCTGTTTACAGATAATAAAAATATCTTCATAGGAGATTTGAAGAAATCTATACAAAAATTGCTAGAAACATAAAAGGAATTAGTTGTAGAAGGTTGCAGAATACAAGGACAATGTGAAAAAAATCAACGTATTTCTATCTGAATGAGGAACTGGAAACTGAATTTAAAACATAATACCATTTAGAGTAGCAACAAAAATGAAATATTTATATATAAATCTAACAAAACACAGACATTGTATGCTAAAAACTTCAAAATGTGATAAAACACAGTGGAGATATACTGCATTCATTCATTTTAATCAACATCAGAAAAATGAAAATTCTCCCCGAATATATGAGTAAGATTAATGCTATTCCTTTCCAAATCTTAGCAGAAATTGTTTATAGACATAGAAACTTATTTTAAAATGTATAAAGAAAGACTATGGGAATATAATAGGGAAAACAATTTGCAAAAGAAAAGTGAGAAAAACCATGTTGTCCAATGTTGAAACTTTGTATGTAGCTACAGAGGATTTCCCAACATAGGCACTGTGGAATCAAACTCTAGCGATTGTGCAGGACTCTTCTGTACAATATTGAATTTTTAGTAGCATCACAGATCTTTACCCACTAGATGCCAGTAGCAGTATCGCCTACCAAATCATGACAATTAAAGATGTCTACAGATGGTGCTAAATTGTTACCTGTGTGGCAAAGTCACCCCAGATGAGGACAATAATAGTGAAAACATTATGATTGTCAGAGGGGTCAACACACAGGTCAACGAAGCAGAATAAAGACCCCAGAAATATAACCACATAACGATGGCAAACTAATTCTTTTGCATAGGTGCAAAAGCAATTCGATGGAGAAAAGATAGTCTTTTCAATAAATAAAGTTGAACAAGCAGATATCCACATGCAAAAACATAAATTAAATAAAATAAAAACCTCAATAAACAACTTAATTCTTAAACGTTGCACAAAATCTTCCTCAAAAGGGTTCACAGATCTATAAATAATATGAAGAATTATAAAGCTTTTAAGAGAAAATTTATTGCGGCCTGGGGTTATAATAAAGGGTTTTATTTCTTTGGCATAACACCAAATACATGATCCATAAAAGAAAAATTCAGTAAATTAGACTTTGTGAAAACTAAAATCTTTTGCTCTGCGGAAGAAACTATAAAGAAAATGAAAATACAAGCTATAGACTGAAATAACATATTTGTAAATTGCATATCCAACTAAGGCTTTAACATTTAAAATGTATAAACAATTCACAAAACTCAATAATAAGCAATCTAACAGCCTGATTAAAACATAGGCAAAAGACTTGAACATTTCACCAAAGAATACATTCACATAGCAAAAAAGCAAATGAAGCCGGGCGAGGTGGCTCACGCCTGTAATCCCAGCACTTTGGGAGGCCGAGGCGGGGGGGGGATCACGAGGTCAGGAGATCGAGACCATCCTGGCCAACAGGGTGAAACCCCGTCGCTACTAAAAATACAAAAAAAAATTAGCTGGGCGTGGTAGCAGGCGCCTGTAGTCCCAGCTACTCCAGAGGCTGAGGCGGGAGAATGGCGTGAACCTGAGAGGCGGAGCTTGCAGTGAGCCAAGATCACGCTACTGCATTCCAGCCGGGGGGAACATGCGAGACTGTCTCAAAAAAAAAAAAAAGCAAATGAAAAAATGTTCAACATCATTAGCTCTTAGGAAAATGCAAGTTAAAACCACAGTGATATACCCCTACATACCTATTAGAATTACACATTGCACATTGTCCAGTGCTGGTGATGATACGAAGCAACTGAATCTCTCAGGTATTGCTGGTGTGAACGCAAAATGATACAACTAGTCTGCAAAACATCTGACACTTTCTTATACAGTTAAACTCATCGCATGGCCCAACATGTGTACCCCATTAACTTAGCCCATATAAATAAAAAGGTATGTCCACAGAAGTGTGTACACAATTGTTCATAGCAACTTTGTTTGCAAGAACTTAAAACCCTAAACAATTCAAATGCCCTTCAGTGGCCAAGAGATGACTTGTGTGACATCTATAAATGGAATAGTATTGAGAAACACAATAACTTGGATAGATCTCAATGACCATTATGCTGAATGGGGAAAGATTCAAAATACACTTACGATATTATTTTATTGCTAGAACATTCTCAAAATGACAAATTATAGTGTGGAGGACCTATGAGGGGTTGTCAGGCATTAGGGTTATGTGGAAGGGATGACTATGAATTGCTGCCTCCCTGTATTTATATCTGATTGTGGTGACAGTTATGTGACACTGTGCATGCAGAAAAAATATAATAGAACTTTACACCAAACCAAACAAAACCCAACAAAACAAAGCCACAACACAGTGCACTGAAAAATTTATGACATTATAAAAAGTCTATAAGTTATCAATATCAATTTTCTGATCTTGAAAATTGTGCTGTGGTTATACAAAATCTTATCATTGGGATAAGCCAGTTAAAGGGTACAGGGGACCCCTCTATCCTGTTCGTGTAACTAAATACAGTCTAAGTTATTTCAAAATAAAAAGTTAAAAATAAATGAATAGATACAAATTTAGACACAATTTAGTCTCACGAAGAAATTTTTCTTAATTGTCTATCCAAGAGAAAATAAAAAACATCAGCACAACTTCTTGTACACTAATATTTATAGAAGTATTAATTAGAAGAGGCAAAAAATAGGAAAATAATGCCCATCAACTGATGAACTGATAAGCATATATGATATTTACACACATTAGCATAGACAGCAAGAAACAGCATTGAGTTCTTATGCATGCTACAACATGGGTGAACCTCAAAAATATTACATTAGGTGAAAGAAACTAGATACAAAATACCACATATTGCAAGATTCCATTTATATAAAAGACCCAGAGAAGACAAGTCTGTAGAGACAGAAATGAGATTCATGGGGCAAAATGAGCAAGGAAGACAAACAGGCATACAAGATTTTCTGGGGATGATGGAGATTTCCTGGAACTGGATGGTGGTGACGGTTGCACAGCCCTGTACCCTTAGTAAAAATCATTTAATCGTACATGTAAAGAGGTGAATTTTATGGTGTATGGATTACGACAATAAGGTGCTTTAAAAAATATTAATAGAAAAGCAAATGCATGTGAGATTAGTGGACATGCACTGCAGAGCCTAACTCCTGCCTGGTGCCCAGGAGGTGTTCACCAAGCGGCACCTGTTTTACGTGGCTTCAAAGCCACATTTAGTATTAAAAAATTGGTATAAAAGAAGACTGGACTCTTCTCCATAAAGTACTGGACACAACTGAAGCTCCTCTCCTCTGCTGAGAGGGTGGGACCTTATAGCCATCACTGGCCAAAGAGGACATTTTCCAGAGTCCAAGGTGGTTCTGGGGAAAGTGAGAAATGTCTCCCCCAAGGTCCACAGTGACCCCTCTCTCGGTCTTTTCTAAATGCTCTTGCTTCTTATCTGTCTCAGGAAAGAGCCCAGCAGCTTTTCCAACTGAGTCTAAATGCATAAAGGCATGATTACTCCACCCCAGGAGCTCAGAGTTTATACTTGGTATTTACTCACGGTGTTTAAGCTTGGTATTTAATCATGGAATAGAATTCTTCCTCCTTCGTGAAAGGAATTTTACAAAAAAAAAAAAAAAAAAAATAGGAGAACTCTGTTCCTTGGCAGAAAACCTTGCTGACATCCCTGATGGCAAGAACTGGGCCTCCCTCATCCAATGCCAGCTTTCAGCCCAGTGTCAGCACACAGGCCCTCGGTGAAGGTGTGTGTAAAGAATGACTGCCATCAATACCTTAACTCTCAGCAGCATTTCACAGTTTGAAAGAACGTGAGGAACACTACGGACTAATCACTGCATCTCATCTGTCCTCTAGATCACATTGAAATGAGAATAAATGAACAGAAAGTTGTGATCTCGCAACAACATAGGGCTATCAGCAGATAAAAGATGCCAATCATCTCTGAGGATGGAAAGAATCAGATGGCCTGTTAGTGACCAACGGAACGAGAAAGAGAAGCCTAGCATAGTTCCCCAGCAGAGAAACAACGATAGCAGAAGGGGGGAATTAGGATCTATAAGAGGTTACCCATGTCACAAACTCGGCCACGAAAAAAATGACAAAACTAACGAATATCTAACAGGAGAAGTGGGTGAAGTCTCAGAGTGCCATTTCTTGCACTTGCAAAACAGGAAGTCAATCCTACGGGCTAAAATTGTGTCATGAAAGGAACAGAAAGGAGAGGTTACGGCGGTGGAGGTGCTAGTAGCCACAGCAGTGAGAGCAGCCACTGTGGTCATAATAATGACTTAATTGTGCCACACCTTGATCTACTTTTTATTCAAGCTTTTTTTCCCCTCAGTATTACCAGGGTATTTTAAAAATTAAAAATATATCATTGTCAGTTAATATGTTTTCTGGGGGATTTTTGGTATTTTTTCAACATTATTGAGGTATAATTCACAAGGTGCGGTGGCTCACGCCTATAATCGCAGCACTTTGGGAGACGGAGGCAAGTGGATCACCTGAGGTCCGGAGTTCGAGACCAGCCTGACTAACGTGGAGAAACCCCATGCCTACTAAAAAAATACAAAATTAGCCAGGCGTGGTGGCGCATGCCTGTAATCCCAGCTACTCTAGAGGCTGAGGCAGGAGAATCACTTGAATCCAGGAGGCGGAGGTCGCGGTGAGCCGAGTCATGCCATTGCACTCCAGCCTGGGCAACAAGAGTGAAACTCCATCTCAAGAAAAAAAAAAAAAGTTGTACATATTTAAAATGTACAATGTGATGTTTTGATAAACATTTACACTGTGAAATGATTAAGACAATTAAGCTGACATGTCCATCAACTCATATATTAATAGTTAATTTTTTTGTTTTTTGTGTGGTGGGAATACTTAAGCTCTACTCTCTTAGTAAATTTCAAATAAACAACATGTTATTAACTACAGGCACCATGTTGTTCATTAGGTCTTCAGAACTTACTCATTTTGTAACTGCAAGTCTGCACCGTTTGGCCACTAACTCCCCTTTTTTCCCCATCCCACGACCTCTGGTAACCACTCCTCCACCGTTTCCATGAGTTTGACTTTTTAGATTTCACATAGAGGTGAGATTATGCAGTATTCGTCTTTCTTTCTTTGGCTTATTTCACTTAATATAATGTCCTCCGGGTTCATCCATGTTGTCTCAAATAGCAGATTTCTTTCTTTTTTTTAAAGGCTGAATAATGTAAATTGATACAGCCATTATGGGAAGCAGGATGAATGTTCCTCTAGAAATTAGAAATAGCACTACCATATGATTTCCCATTCCCACTTCTAGTTATATATCCAAAGGAAAGAAAATCACCATCTCAAAGCGATCTCAGTACTCACATGTTCCTTGCAGAATTATTCACAAGAAATAGAAATGACCGATGTGCCCGTGGACGGATTAGTGGTAAAGAAAATGTGATCACACACACAGACACGCACACACACACACACACCATATACAATGGAATACTCTATTTTTAATGAAACACATCAACTCTACTTTGGATTTTTTGTCTTCTTATAATCATAAATAAAAACGAACACTTTCACAAATAGAATACAACTTATAGAGTAGGATTTCATTGTTATAATGTCCACGTGTCAGTTACTTATCCATGCGTCTAATGGTCGTATTGGAGGGCGCTGCGCTTAGAATTTTTTTCTTCCTAAGTTTAATAATGTTATAACGAGCATGCATCATTTTAAATAAAAGTAATAAAGCCTCTTAAGATTTTGGCTGAAGCAGGTTGCCAGGAGCCAGGGGTCAGGGGCTGCGCTGAGCGCTGGCTCGGGCTGCAGGAGGGAGGCTTCATTTGCTCACACTCAGGTGGAAACCGGGAAGGCCTGGAAATCGCAGGTCCTGAGGACGCGGCGAGTTCACGGAGAGGACCTGCCGGGCAGGGGCTCTGGGAGCCTCCGCGGGGAGGGGAGGGCGCGCGGCCGGCGCGGCCACAACCCGGTCTGCGGCGCCATCTAGCGGGCGCGCCGGGACCGTCGCCCACTAGGCCCTTTTCCGGAGGAGAAGCTGATGCCAATCAAAACGCCATCTCTACTCCTTGTCAAAGTCAAGTCATTTAGCGAAAGGCCTAATGAGCTCTGCAATCAGCTACGCAAGAAAAAGGAGTGTTTAGGAACATTCCCTAGCTGTTTCTCTCAGGCGGGGATGATGTGCATCTGGAGTGCCCTGGGATAAGGGGTGGGAGGCAGGGCAGAGAGGCTGTAATAGACACGTCTCTCCTAATGGTCAGGGACCAAGCCACCCTTCTCATTAAATCATTTCAATTTCACCACTACTCTTGAGCTCCTCCTTTTTAAGCACACTGAAATCCTAATTTTACAAAAGTTGCTGTCATTTATAATATACTTGTATCATACTGTACATACATAATTTCCTCACTTAACCCTCAAAATAATTGTTCTGGGAATTCTATTACCCATTTTGCAGGAAAAAAAAAAAAAGGCCAAGACTCCAGAAAGCTGAGGATCAGGTCTGAGATCATAAGGCTTAAGTAACAGGTGAGGCAAGATTTAAACCAAGAGATCTTGACCTCACTTAACCACAAGCATTTCCACATTTCTCCTGCTGTGGAGAAGAGATTGTTCCTTATTGAACGATACAGAAGGAGAGAAATACGTTGGGGGCAAGGGTTCAGGCTTGGCATTTCTTAGCAGAATCTCAGAATTAAAGGAGACTGCGGTGCAATTCGGGAGCAAGTTGAGCTCTTTCACTGCTCATAAACACGTGCTTATTTATGACTCGGCACTGTGATTCAGTAATCTAGTTCACCTGTCAACAGTAAAGGTGACTTTTTAAAGAAAGTTACTGCTTCAGAATACAGAATTCTGATTATTTTACCACCTTTAAGGAGGTGTAAAACAGCAGCATAAAATCCTTCACATCATTGTCCTCAATTTTGTGATTCAGGGCTTATCACCCAACGAAGCAGAACAATTCCAGGGCAGAAGTCTCTGATGGATGTGCCACACGACAGCTGGTTTTTGTGTGTGTGTGTGAGATGGGTCATAAATATTAATGGTATTGACAGAGTCTAAAAAATTTGTCATTTCACATCCCTGCCATTGAAGCACCCGGAATTCCACAACTTTGTTGCTCTGACTGACAACCACCCCTGTTTCTTTCCTGAATTCTCTTAGTTGGGTCTATTTTTCCCTTTCACCTTCAGAAATTATACATCAGCAAAGGTTTTCCCAAATAGTTGCAGGTCAACTGAACCAAACATCTTAAGGTTTTTTCCCTTTTTCTTTTCTACTTAGCTGATGTCAACCTGCATTCTGGGATCAATTCTTTTGGGCATATATATATATATATATATATATAACTTTTTTTTTTTTGAGAGAGGGAGTTGGGCTCTGTCAACCCAGGCTGGAGTGCAATGGCGTGATCTCAACTCACTGCAACCTCTGCCTCCCGGGTTCAAGTGATCCTCCCGCCTCAGCCTCCCGAGTAGCTGGGATTACCGTTGCATCACCACACCCGACTAATTTTTGTATTTTTTTATAGAGACGGGGTTTCACTATGTTGGCCAGGCTGGTCTCGAACTCCTGACCTCACGTGATCCGCCCGCCTCCGCCTCCCAAAGTGCCGAGATTACAGGCATGTGCCACTGCACCGGGCTGCCTCTATATTTTTGAATGTGCGTTAGGAAATGGTGTAACATCTGATCCCTGTTGTGGGAACAGTTTGGTAATCGGTTCCCTGGAAGGGCTCACTGGTGCTCGTGTGTGTTACCTGTGAGTAGTTGAATTGTATTGGATCCCATAGAAAAGCTGCGGTCCACTGAGCGGTAACTGCATACAGCGACATTTACAAAGTGCATGCCCTTAAATATCACCCAACAAAGACAGTTATTGCTGGTCATTTGAACAGCGTATTCACTGGCTGGTTTGGGGCAGGCAGGAAAAGAAAGTCGCTGAGACAAGAGGGGTTTCCGTATGACGAATGGAGGGAATCCAGTCAAGGACCCAGCAGCCTGTAAGCCTAACAGCAGTTTGTTGATTAAAAACGACATGACAACAAATCACAGAAAGCCGCACTCCCCCCCTCCGCCCCCCAACACACCCACGGGCTGCCCTCTGCTCATGAACCACATCCATTTGTGGTTTCTTCTCCTCTGATGCTTTCTGGGTTTTCTTTCTTCTCTGGGGAGGTCAGCTTTGTTCGTGTTACACAGGCTGCGTTTCTCTGACAGGAGCTGATATTTACTCGGAGAATTTTTCTGCCAAAGCACGGAAGTGTATATGGCTTTAAATACCCATTGCTGGAACCTGGCAAGTTTGAGGGTGTGGTGGTGGTGTGTGTGTCATGATGACTCTCTTGATTTACTGTGAAATTGGCTCTGGAATGACAGCAAGTTATTAAAGCTACTGAAAAGAGTAAGACCGGTGTTGGTAGTCCTTTTTTTTTTAACTCATTTTTTTGTTAATTTTTATTTTTATTTATTTATTTTTTGAGACCGAGTCTTCCTCTGTCCCTCAGGCTGGAGTTCAGTGGTGCAATCTTGGCTCAGTGCAACCTCCGCCTCCCGGGTTCAAGCCATTCTCTGCCTCAGCCTCCCAAGTAGCTGGGATTACGGGTGCCCACCACCACACTTGGCTAATTTTTGTATTTTTAGTAGAGACAGGGTTTCACCATCTTGGGCGGGCTGGTCTTGAACTCCTGACCTGGTGATCCACCCACCTCGGCCTCCCAAAGTGCTGGGATTACAGGCGTGAGCCACTGTGCCCTGCCTTTTTAAATTTTTAATTGATAATAATTGTATATATTTATGGAGTGAAATGTGATGTTTTGATATATGCATACCTGCTTGATGATTATATCAAGCTAATTAACATAACCATCACCTCTAATACTTATTATTTTTGTAGTGAGAACATTTAAAATCATTCTTTTAGCAATTTTTAAGTCCTGTGATTGTGACTACGTGGACGAACCTGGAGGATATTATGCTAAGTAAAATAAGCCAGACACAAAGACCACATTATATCGCTTACACATTGAATCTGGAAAAGTTGAATTTGTTTAATTTTTAATTAGAACTTTTGACTGTCTCCAGATCTCATAAACTGCCGAAAGATAGCCTTCCTGGGAGAATCCTGACTACTGATCTTAGAGTCACGTAGCTACCTTACACTTATTTTATTTTTTACTTGTAAACATTTTATTTTTCAATAATTATAGACTCACAGGAAGTTGCAAAAGTAGTAAAAAGAACCTTGTGTAGTATTCTGCCAGTGGTGATATCTTACAGAGTTATTGTACATTATCAAAACCAGACTACTGACATTGATATATTTTCAAAAATTTTCAACCTGCATTCATTTGCATGTGTGTGATTCTATCTACAATTTAATCCCATCCATAGATTTGTGTAGCAAAAAGCAAAATTAGATACAGGACTCTTCCATCATTGCAAGAGATCTATTTTGTGTTCTGTCTTTGTATTCACACCTACCAAACTTCTGCCCATTTGTCTTGGCAGCCACTGCTCTGTTCTCCACCTCTGTTGTTTTGTCATTTCGAGAATGTTCTATACTTGGAATTTCACAGTATATAATCTGCTTGGATTGGTATTTTTCACTAAGTGTAATATCTTCCTCGTCCATCTAGGTAGTTCTCTGTATCTCGTCATTATTTTTCCTCACTAAATAATATTCCTTTTTATAGATGCACAAGTGTGCGTCCAACCATTAGCCCACTGAAGGGTATTTGGGTTGTTACAGTATTTTGACAATTTAAGTGAAGGAATTATAAAATGTGTGTTCAGGGTTTTGTGTGAACATAAGTTTTCATTTCTCTGGGATAAATGCCAAATAATGTGAGGATTACTGGTCTGTTTGGTAAGTAAATGTTTTATTTTATAAGAAACTTTCAAACTGTTTTCCAGAGCAGCTATGGTATTACCTTCACTCCAGCAATACGAAAGCATCCTCACTAGCACTTGGGGTTGTCACTGTCTTTTTATTAGAGCCCTTCTGACTCCTGGCACTTCATGGTGGTTTTAATTTGCATTTCCCTAATGGCTAATGATGCTGAACATTTTTTCATGTGTTTATTATTCATATTTCTTCCTTGGTTAAATGTCTATTTATGCCTCCCTCCCACTTTTTAATTGTATTTTTTTGTGAGACAGGGTCTCACTCTGTCACCCAGGCTGGAGTGCAGTGGTGTAACCTCTGCTCACTACAACCTCCATCTCCTAGGCTCAAGCAATCCTCCAACCTCAGCCTCTCAAGTAGCTGGGGCTACAGGAGAGAGCCACCACACTCAGCTAATTTTTTTATTTGTATTTTTTTTTATAGAGACAGGTTTTCACCATGTTGTCCAAGCTGGTCTCAAATGCCTGGACCCAAGCTATTCACCTGCCTCTGCCTTCCAAAGTGCTGGGATTTCAGACATGAGCCATCACACCTCCCCCAGTTGTATTGTTTTTATCATTGTTGTTTTTACTGTTGACTTTTTTCTAGTTCTTTGTATATTCTAGGAGTAAAACGTTAGTCATATATGTGGTTTACAAATATTTTCTCTGTGCTCGTTGATTATTTTTCTTATTCTGTAAGCAAGGTGATCTTCAAGGAAAAGTTATAAATTTTGATGAAGTACAATTTACTATTTTTGTAAAGTATTTATTTTAAGGATTATACTTTCAGTGTCATGCCTATGATCTCTTCACCTAGCATAGCTCCCAGAGATATTTGTTTATTTCTCTATAGTTCTATAGTTTTACATTTGAGTGTGTCTCCACCCTTTGCCAGATGTGGTGGCATGTGCTTGCGATTCCAGCTCCTTGGGAGGCTGAAGAGGGAGGATCGCTTGAGCCTAGGAGTTTGAGTTCAGCCTGGGCAATGTGGCAAGACCCCATCTCTGAACAGAATAAATAAATAAATAAATCTCTCCTCTTTGATACGGCCCCTTTCTGCCAAGTTGTGGCCTCTGTCAAAGAAGAATGCTGATCAGCACTGTCTGGGACAACACTCAGCAGTTTTAACCCAGAACTCAATGGCCCTGGTAGCTTGAATTAAGCATTTGACTCACTTATTCAACAACTATTAACTGAGGCGAGCATTTTCCCAGGTGCTGGAAACGTAGATGTGTAAAACTGACCGAGACCTCAGGCTCATTGATTTCCCCTTCTGGTGAGGAATATTGATGATTAATCCTAAATTTTATACGATGATAGGCCTATAAAGAACATAGAACAGGGTAATGGGATGGAAAGACAACCACAGGCGTGGGAGTGGGGGGGGCTGGGGGTTCTATTTAGATTCCTCTGACAGTTGAATTGAACCTGAATGAAGAGGAAGAGCCAGACACGGGGAGATGTAGAGAAAGTGTGTTTCTGACAAGAAGAAGAATGAAGTACAAAGAAGCGGGGATGCAGAATCTACTGTCTGACAAAGCGTTTTCATTTGCAAAGATGTTGATTCCAGCAACCAAATTGAGCGACGGGTGATGAAAACTCGACAAATTGCTGTCATACCCCCACACTTTAGTCCCAGAAAGGAAAGTCAAACCAGCACAGAATACATCCAGGCCTTTCCTAGGTTTGACACACAGAATTATAAATATGACTCTGCCAGGCACACACAAGGCAAGGCAAGGCCAAGGCCAAGACAAAGGTCTGACTCAGCCTGTAGAGATACGATGAACTGCTCTGAGATTCAGACAGTTTCTACTTCCATGGACAGAGGAGGGAAGAGTGCTCAAAGGTGCCAGCTCTCAATGGCCCTTGTCCCACACAAGAAAGGACAATGCCAAGACACAAGAAGTGTGACGATTGCATTGCAAGCCATGGGCTATGCCACTGCTGAGAAGCCAACCCTAAATTGCAGCTAAGGAATTTTCTTTCTTTCCTTCCCTCTTTCTTTCTTTCTTTTTTTTTTTTTTTCTGAGACAGAGTCTCACTCTGTCACCAGGCTGGAGTGCAGTGGCACAATCTCAGCTCACTGCAACCTCTGCCTCCCGGATTCAAGCAGTTCTCCTGCCTCAGCCTCCTGAGTATCTCATACTACAGGCACCTGCCCCCATGCCCAGCTAATTTTTGTATTTTTAGTAGAGATGGGGTTTCACAATGTTGGCCAGGATAGTCTTGATCTCTTGATCTCATGATCCCCCCACCTCAGCCTCCCAAAGTGCTGGGATTACAGGCATAAGCCACCACGCCCGGCTGCTACTAAGGAATTTTCTATTCTGCTGCTCTTTCCTGAGGGAGGCCTGACAGACAATTCATACCTCATAGGAACCTGGAAAGTGACGAGAAACTCCCACATGGCAGCCTCCCAGGACATATAGGGAGGTAAGTGGGAGATGGTCTCAGAGTGGCTCTTCTTCTTTTTATTGAATCAGGGTCTCACTGTCATCCAGAATGGAGTGCAGTGCTGCCATCATGGCTCACTGCAGCCTCAACCTCTTGGGCTCAGGTGATCCTCCCAACTCAGCCTCCAGGGTAGCTGGGACTACAGGCACATGCCACCATACCCGGCTAATTTTTGTATTTTTTGTAAAGACGGGGTTTTGCCATGTTGCCCAGGCTGGTCTCAAACTCTTGGGTTCAAGTCATCCTCCTGCCTTGGCCTCCCAATGTACTCAGGTGTGATCCACCATGCCTGGTGTCAGAGTGGCTCTTCTTAACCCTCTCACCCTTTTGTGGTCCTGGAGGGCCGTAAGGTGTTCTAGCAAAACTGACATTAGCTGCAGCTGGAGTCTCTTCCTATGTGGCCTGCATAGATGGGTCACCAGGATGCCTCCAGGGTTCCATACCTCTATAAGTGCTCCCACTGGTTTATTATCCCTATAATGCCCCTCCTCCACAGCCCAAAGTGCACCATTCTTTTTAGGTTCTACAACCTTGTCTCTGACCCTGTTCTCAGATTTGGCCCCAATCCTGGTCATGCATAGAGCTTCAGCTAAGATCAGAAAATGAAGTCCAGTCACCTCCAGGCCAGTAAAACAGAAACACAGGCAGTTTTGTAGATGCCGGGGCTCTACCAGCTTAAGGTGGTCAGTTCCCAGCAAGGCTCTTTCAGTCCATCTGCATTTTAGAATTTTCCAGTCCACAAGGTACCTGGTGACTCTCTGGGCAAAACCAATTGACAAGGGGACAGTTACTTGGCATACAGAGCTGCTGTTCCCACCATGTAACCCTGATGCATTTCAACAGTCGTCTTTACTCGACGCAGCACTTGGTCCTGATATGCACGCAGATTGAGAAAATAAAGAATAACGGCTCCCCAGGAAACAGTTCCACAATATACACAAATGAAAAAGGATTTACACAGTAGACCCTAAATAGTTTCTAAGGAGCCATTATGGAAACAGGTAAATTAAATTTAATTTAACTGTATTTTCTTCGTTTAAACAAATATATCTGGTGCTTGGAAAACAGCAGGTTATAAAAATGCTTAATGTTTCTGTGAATATTAAGCATATGCAAAAAAGACTTCTTTGTGACACTTTTTCTGAAGCCCAATTTCTCACCATGGCAAGAGGGATGATGCCCACAAAGGTTGTCTGGCTGATGAAGATCTCAGAGACGACCAGCTCACTCGTGGAGTCCTCAGTCAGGGACTCCCCAGCCAGGTAATTTGCCGGGCCCTGGTAAGGCCACGTCTGGTGCAAGATTTAACAGAAGGAGCCATTTGTTCTGGAAAACAAACATATTAATGTTCCATTTAAAATCTGAGACTCAGCAGAACGTCAGGAATGTAATAAATTGCTACATTCTTCTTTGTCAACCAAAAGAATGACTGTCAAGTTCAGTAAGTCACATGGCAGTGTTGTGGAGCCTAATACACAGCTGTCCATCAGCAGCCCACAGCTCAGAATGGGCTGATGATCCATCTCTAGGGCTCCGTGTTGTGGAAAGCAGGCTGCCCTTCACTGGATGAGTAACCTAGCCAGCATTTCACCTCTGTGCATGCCACGCATAGCTCTTCCCTCCCCAGCCCAGGCACGGGCATGCCACAATCCTAGCTCCACACACAGAAAAGCCGCCCGGATCATTTCATGTAGCTTCACCGCTCCTCCAATCACAAAGCACACCCTGGACCTTGACCTATGCTGCTTCTACTTACCTGGGGTCTAAGGACCAGAGGTTTAAACTTCCCGAGCTTTAGAATTTGCAGAGAATAGTGGGGACCTCATGGTATGTGGAAGCATCAGGAGACCAAGCGTGAGAAAGAACTTCATACACTACACGATTTGCTACATAAACTATGAGCAATGTAAGAAGGTACTACACTGGACTTCTCATTTCACCAAATGGGATTAGAAGTAATGCAAGAAAATCCCACCTGCCTTAATTCATAGAATGGCAACATTGTATGTGTGTTTGGAGGTGGGGGCAGGGGGGAGCTATGAAGTTGGTGAATTCTTTATAAGTGAAAAAGACTAGTGTGATTGTGGTATTTGCATGTGCAGGGAGCCCCTTGTCATTGACATGGACTTGTAAATTGCAGGCTATCACCTTGTCAGGGAAGTCACTGAACAGAGTTAAAACAGAAAGCCATGCAGCACAGGCTTGTGAATGATCCTGATCCATCAGCCTCTTTCTGTCCCCGTGAATCCACCTGCACCCAGATCCAAGGAAGGTGACGGCAGAGCGGCTGATCCACCAGCTCCTCCCAGGCCTGAGCTACACACAGGTGTTCCTTCTCTGCCAATAAGCCTGCCAGGACCAATGTAGGCTGAGAAGTCTTTTCCTGCCTCTGGGGGCCTAGGCAAGGTCTGCAGTCTGGGCTCCCAAATCCCAACCTGTGTGGAAAGAGTTTTGAAAAAGAACCTGATGCCTGTTGCTTGTCTAACGAAATCTCCTACCACGGACAGCTCCCTGCACTGGGACTTCTGTAGGAATGTGGGTGAGGAAACCACAATTATCTGCTTCTTTGCATTTGCCAAGAGGTAACAGAGGAACACTGGAATATAGCCATGGCATTGACAAAACCAAAATGCACTGTCCTGCCTAATATCAAATTCTACCCCCAATTGAGCTATGTTAGACTTCATATAGGATTGGTCATATCCAACTTTTTTCCACTTAGCTAAGGTTGTAGAAACTTCCAAATGCTGCTCTAATATTGCAGCCATCAACCAGAAGTGGCTATTTAAATTGAAATATAAATTTATTACAATGACATAACCAAATGGTCCCAGCTGAGCTCAAGCTGGGTGTGGATACATGGGTGCTATGATTCCTCAAATATCAATTGGTACAAGTTACTTTGCATGGGGAAGAAAATTTGTGTTGAATAAGGGTTTCTGAACCACGAGAGAACTGAAAGTGAGTGCACACAGAACCATCTTCCCCACTAGAGGACCCCTATTTACTTTGATACCTTTAGTGAAAAGACAAATAAAAAGAGAATTTAAGGGTTGAGTTTTGAATTGATGAAGAGATGCAGGAACTTAGAAACTTAGGTGTCCAGTTTTCTGTGAAGCCTCCACCCCACCACCATTTCCCATCCACAGCATTCCAGGCTAAAAAGCCTCTTCCCTAGTCACAGGAATTCTCCACGAATCCATCGATTAAATCACTTCCTACAAGGGATGCTTGGTCCTGTAAGATCAAATTTTCAATTTCTCTTTGGGCTGCGCTGTGATTTGTAACCAGAACTAGGGAACTGCTTCCAACACCTGCCAGGTTCTCAGCATTCCGTAGACCTCAGAGAAGCTAATGCCAGGGAAGCAAAGATCCAGTGAGAGGAGAAATGAGCTCTGCCACCAGCCATTTCATCCTGTTAAATTCACACTCTGGTCGTGGGGTAAAGAAAGAGAAGTGGCCAGTCTTTGGGCAAAGAGGGTAGGTCTGCATGACAGGGTCAGCCCCTCTGACTGTGGGCACGTCCTGCTGCTCTCTGACTTCCCAGCCTGTGAACTGGACCAGCTGCGGGAACCTGCCCAAGTCCAGCAATGAATGGAATAACAAGTAAGGCAGAGCCACTTCTATGTAAAGTGGGTTGTTTTTTTTTTTTTTTTTTTTTTTTTTGAATTGGTTCTCTCAATCCAGAGGAAAGACTTCTTGTACTTTTGGGGAGTAGACATACTTGGTAATAAGTCCATTTCTATGGAAGTTTGTTCATAGCTATTAATTTCATCTGCTCACGATCTATTCTTGATAAGCCTTTCCAATTTAGAAAAGTGCTTCATGATACTCTCAACTTAATAATTACCACTGCCTTTGAGGAATTTTTATCAGAGTTTCAGCCATGAGATATGCATTAGGCATTTTTGCTGGGGTGAAGAAGCGCAGGTGTGAGTGTGTGTGTGTGAATGTGTGTGTGCTAGAAGGGGTCAGGTGTGAAGTGGCCACACTGCTTGGCTGTTTCTCCCTCAAGCTAGAGCACACAGCCTTCTTCCAAAAGGGCTTTCTTCCCATAAGCCCTGTTTCCCACGTGTGCATAAAAGGACACTCACTTAGGGATTTTAGTCACCCCTTTTCCCACCCACTATGCTCAGACCAAGAGTCTCCTCCCTGTCATAAGAACTCCCCCACATATTCACCTGTTTATCCTGCTTCTTAATGGCAGGAGGCCTAAGGATGCCCTCCTTAGAAAGCCTGCTGGCAAAGCTGATGCTTGGCCCATGTCCAGGAACTCAGATTTCAGGAGGAGGCTTCCCACCATTCCCTCACTATGCCTAATCTCTTTGTGCAAACAATATGGTTCATGCTGAACACTCGTTTTCTCTCTAGGGGTCTGGAATTTTGGAATCCGCTAGGCAGGGGATACCTAGGTGACTGGCCCACAGTAAAAACCCTGGGCACTGAGTTTTAAAGAGCTTCCCTGTGAATAGAACATCTCTCAGCCTACTTTGGTCCTGGCGGGCACACTGGCAGAGAAGGAGCAAGCTGGCATGTGTGATTCCAGCCTCAGGAAGATTGTGGATCAGTTGCTCTGCCATCGCCTTTCTTAGATCGGGGTAAAGCTCAATTCAGGGTGATGGAAACCGGGTCATTCACAATCCTGTGCTGGATGGCTTTTGTTTTAACTCTGTTAGGTGACTTCTTTGACAGTGCAATAGCCTGCAATTTATCATAATTAGGGGCGCCTTGTGTATTAAAATATTAAGAATAGCCCTTGTCTTTTTCACTTATATGGAACCCACCAAGCTTCTTCTCTCCTCCCCCCAAAACACATACAGCATACAATATTAAGGGAGAGGAGGAGGAAAAAGGGAGTATAAATTATGAGGATATCTGGGGAAAGCAGGCTCAGTCTCCTTCAACATGCAAGCGTCCTGCAGTGAGCCTGGGTTGGAAGATGAGGACCTGTCATTTTCTCACTCAGGCTCAGCATCCAGGCACTTCTTAGGATGGGAGCCTCTTTCTACACTGAGTGTGCTCCTAGGCTATTCTGTAGCCTACTAATGGTGTCTATTGTGTAGGCAGCATGGTGCCCAGGCCTACACCAGCTCCACCTGGTATTCAACCCAAGGACTGTGCTCAACCTTGAGGAAGAGCTGGCTGTGTGGACTTACTGATGCTGAATTGGACAGATAAATGTGTCTGTCTTCTGCACCATGTTTTCCTGCATAGGTTTTCATGGATCATTTTGCTTCTAAGCTATCTGTACCCTATGAGCCAATATTAGAACACAGGATGCACACCACCACACCAAAATGCAACTCCACTGTAAAAAAGATAAAAGTATGGCTATTCTGTTGAATCTTAGGGAAGGAGACTTGTGTCTATGCCTTCTTGGCACTTCCTTTATTCCAATAGGGTCCCCCAGTGCATTTTCCTGCATTATATGGTCTTATGGAATTCAGTATGAAAACCATGGGCTGACCAATCTTAAACTAAACCTTGTATGCTAATATCTTCAAAGCCCTCTGATTTAGGTCATTATCCCATCTTCTCTACTTATGTAGTCTTCATCTTTCTTAATAACAGCTCTCAGGCCAGTCCAGCCCACCTCTTTGGTAAGCAGCCCCAAAGCACCCTTGACTTCACTTCACTTCCCAAATAAGCATCATAATTATAATATAATAATAATAATAATTATTATTATTATTTTTGAGACAGAGTCTTGCTCTGTCACCCAGCCTGGAGTGCAATGGCATGATCTCGGCTCGCGGGTTCAAGCAGTTCTCCTGCCTCAGCCTCCTGAGTAGCTGAGATTACAGGTGCCTGCCACCACGCCTGGCTAATGTTTGTATTTTTAGTAAAGATGGGGTTTCACCACCTTGGCCAGACTGGTCTCGAACTCCTGACCTCAGGTGATCCATCTGCCTCGGCCTCCCAATGAGCATCATGTTTAAGATAACTTGATCAATCTCTGACTTCCCCCAGTAGACAATAACTCCTTGAGGACTAGATTATGTGTGTATTGCTCCCTGCACCATCTGTAGTGGCTGGCATGGTGCCTGGCAAAGTGTAGGAATCCTCTAATCAGTGTTTGTTTAATTCATCGAGTATACTCAAAGATCTGACAGGATACTCTGTGACATTCTGGGGACGTAATTTGCATTCTGGGAGACAAGAAATGACTAGTTGATTGAGTCTTGAGCCATATCCTCACACCTAGCTGGTAAGTATATTTATATACACTTGGCTTCATGGAAAACGCATCTATCTCTCTTAATAAAACATTAGTTCCCAACTGGGAGCCATCTGAACCCCCAGGGAACATTGGACAATACTTGGAGACAAATTTGTTTATCACAAACTGGGTGATGCTTCTGGTATCTAGCAAGTAGAGGCCAGAGATGCTGCTCAACATCCCATAACACAGCACAGCCATCTCTCCAACACCCACGATAATGTTCTGGCCCAAAATGTGAGTCATGCCAACGCTAAGAAACTCTGCATAATGCAGTAAGCATTTTAAAGGCCAAGCCTGTTATTAACAGCTTAGTCACCCCAGGGGCTAGCACAGTCACTGGCATATTTATCTACAGGGTACTATTTATTTGTTGAGTACCTACTAAATGCCAGAAAATGGGAATTCAGAGGCAAACAAAACAGACAAGTCTCCCTTGCCTTTAATAGGTATTAATAAATAAAATCATGCCAAGTAAAATATAATTGCTATAATAAAAGTCCAACAGAGCAGTTTAATTTTTAGAGAGTTAAATAGAAAATTAAAACCACAATGAGATACCAACACACACTTATGCTTAAAATTAAAAAGTAACAAAATGCCAGTTGCAGTGGCTCACACTTATAATGCCAACATTTTAAGAGGCTGAGGCGAGAGGACCACTTGAGCTCAGGTGTTTGAGATCAGCCTGGACAACATAGCAAGACCTTATCTCCACAAAATAATAATAATAAAAAAAAAGCTGAGTGTGGCAGCACATCCTATAGTTCCAGCTACTTGGTGGGGCTGAGGTGGGAGGATCGCTGGAGTCTAGGATTTCAAGGCTGTAGTGAGTGGTGATCATGCCACTGCACTCTAGCTGGGGTGACCGAGTTAGACTGTTTCTCAAAAAAAAAAAAAAATTAATAATAATAATAATACCAAATGCTGGGGAGAATGCAAAGAAAGTAGATCCCTTATAGACCTGTACATGAATGATTAGAGTAGTCTTATTTGTAATAGTCCCAGACTAGAAACAAACCAATGTTCTTTACGGCTAAATATTTAAACAATCTGCACCAGAGAAGCTAAGAAACAAAAAGAAACACCCTATTGAGGCATGTACCATCCTGGATGGACCTCAAAGGAATTACAATGAATGGAAAAAAAAAAAAAAGACCATCTCAAAAGGTTTCATACTATCTGATTCTTCTTACATAACATTCTTAAAATGACACAAACATAGGGATGAAGAAAAAATTAGGGTTTGCCAAGGGTTAGGGAGGAAGCTGGGAGGGAGAGGAGTGGTTGTAGCTATGAAAGGAGAAAGAAAATGTTCTGAATCTTGAGTATGAGGGTGATTACATGAGTCTACACATGTGTACAATTGCATAGAATAAACTGCATAGAATAATCACCACGCACAAGTGCAGGTAAAAGTGGGGAATTCTAATAAGGTCCATGGATTGTGTCCATTTCAATGTCCTAGTTTAAGTGCTGTGCTATAGTTATGCAGTTGTGGCCACTGAGGGAAACTGGGTGAAGTTTGCACAGGATCTCTCTGTATTATTTCTTACAACCACCTGTGAACTGCAATTATCTTGAAATATAAAGCTTCAAAAGTTAAATACAAATTTAAATTTGATAGCCATTGTCTACTCTCTACTTCTATGAGTTTGACTTTTTTAGATTCCACAGGCAATAGTAATGTATAATTTAAAATAAGAGTAAATGTCAAAGCCTGACCACAAAAAAATGAGTAAATGAGTTGATGGATGTATTAATCAGCTTGATTTAATCATTTCACATTGTATACATATATCAAAACCTCACATTGTACCCCATAAATGTGTACAATGATTTGTCAATTTAAAATAATATCAATAAAAATAATAATATGACCATCAAATTTGAATTTAAAATAAAGATATAATATAAATAATATAAATTAAACTATAAAAGAATATTAGGTTGGTGCAAAAGTAATTTGCAATTACCTGTAATAGCAAAAACCGCAATTACTTTTGCACCCACAGAATATAAACTACAATAGGAGAGCATGAGAGGGTGTTCAGGGACTGTCTCTATAAGGAGGTGATATTTGAGCTGAGACCTGAAGGATGAGTGGAAGCCAGCCACATCCCCAGTAAGTGTTTACAGATCAAATGAGTAAATCTAACTTAAGAAAAAAAAGTGGTCCTGGCAGTGTAGTAATTATCCCAACTCACTGGCATGAATACAAAGAGAGAATATAAAGTGAAAAGGAGATGCCTTCTCAAAGGTCACGTCCTGGCGACACTCTGAGCAGCCAGTCTTACTGTGAGCTCTCTAGCTCTGCGATTCTAACTCCCTGCATTCTTTGCCCTATTTCTTTCTGTATCATTTCACTTCTAACATATCAACGTAGATATTGTTATGCGCAAGGTCTCCATTCCTCTACTAGAATGAAATGCCTTGAAGGCAGGAATTTTTGCCTGTTTTGCTCACTAATATATCCAGAACGTAGAAGTCTGCCTGGGACGTAGGAGGTACTCTGCTGAATGAATGAAGTCTGCCTGGGACGTAGGAGGTACTCTGCTGAATGAATGAATGAGTGTTAAACACAGTTTGAGCAGGTCTCAGAGGAGCATGTGCCGAGTGCAGCAGAGCCCCTGAGCTGCAGGTGAGTGAAGGAGACAGACCTGCGTAGGCGGGCAGGCCAGGGAAGGCTCCCGGGGAGGCTGGGCTGTGGCTGAGCTTTGAGGACTGGGCTAGATGACAGGCAGCTGCCACAGCCCCACTGCGTGGGGTCCCCTCATCACCCCCGTTTCCCCTCCTGACATCCTTCCCACTCCCTGAGTCTCCAACAACACTGGTGTCCTGGAGAGGAGCGGGGCACATTCCCGCTCACGGATTCCTTCAATGGCCCTGAGGTCGTTTCATCTAATTCTCTCCCACTCACACAACTTTTTTTTCATCAGGATCTAATGGCTGGCTCTGAGAATCAGACATGAGCAAATAACCTCCTCCTGAAATTGCATAAAATCCAGGCACCACATCCTCATTTCCGTTTTGTCAAGGGCGGTTATGCTTTCTCTGCTCTTGCTGTGAAAATAATATTTCAGGTTGACAGGAAAGGCAGTCATTGGTATTTGAAGGTCAAGAGCTATGCTGCCAATAAGGTAGTTCCTGGCCACAGATGATATTAACATGTGGGATGCGGCTAGTCTGCAGTGAGATGTGCTGTAAATGTGAAATGCACGAAGATATGGTTGATTTAGTGCAAATGTAATTGTATAAAATACCTCATTCATATTTTTAAGTCTGATTACGTGTTGAAATGTTAATATTTTGGCTATATTGGATTGAATAACATGTTTAATATGAATCCCACCCACTACTGTTTGGTTTTGCTTATGTTTAACATGACATTATAATATAAAATTTTGATCCATTTTTAACCAAGGTGGAATAATAGGGACCGGATATCCCCTCCTACCTGAAACAAATTTTCTAGAAAATCAGAAACAATATAGAAAACAATCAATTTCAAGAAATTGGACTTCAGACAGTGAAGGAAA